>NW_025791803.1:0-179513 GCF_000001405.40 Homo sapiens
ATTCCATTACACCATATTGCTGTGCGTGTGTGTGCACGTGTGTGCTTGCGCCCGCATGTATGTTGAATGGGAGTGTGGGCAGGTCAGCTAGAACATCAGCTGCAATTCACCAGGATGGAAACCTGATTTTATCCTGAAGGTTAACACCTGTCTATCATATGCATATGGCTTAATGCATCTGTGTGCATTAAGGTATTAACCTACATAGAAGATGGCAAGTATGTACAGTATATATTTCACCAGGAGGCCCATGAGTCATTGCAGATGATGTCAAGGAGTAACGAAGATGATGTCAAGCAGTAACAAAGATGGGAGAGAGGGAAAGAGGAAATGAAATGCCCACATTTAAGACCACCTATACCCTGCCTTCACCTCGCGGTGATGGAACTTCACAGGTTAAAGTGCCTGGCTGTGTCCACCTTGGTGAAACCACACTTTTCTGGTGAACAAAATCATGCAACTATTAGTTGGACTTCTAAAAATGTGCAGGTATCATTTATAGGAGCAATATGGAATACAGACATAAAACTGCTGACGTCAAACTCCCTGGTGTGGACATGTGTATGTGTCTGCGGTCAGAGAGTGGAATTAACACAAGTATATAAATAACCGTGATGCAAGGTAGATAGAAAGTGCTCAGGTCCAAAACAAATAGACAGATACTACAAGAGTATTCTTGGAGACCCAGAGGCTGGAAAGATTACTCCAGGCAGGGTATCACAGAGGGCTTCCTGAGGAGGTGGCATTTGCATATAAATACGTCTCCAAATAGATGTAAGATCTTACATTAACAGAACGCTTTAACAGAAGTTAGATTCTGGTTAATTTTCCAAGAAGCGCTGAGATGCAGACATATGCCCTTGTTCCTCTTTCATAGACGCGGAAACTGAGACCCACAGAGGTTGAATAGGTTGTCCACAGTCTCGTAGCTACCAAGTGACAGGCCACGATTTGATCTCAGGCCAGTGTGTTAAACTCCAATTTGCGTGCTCCTGTCCCTCCCCGCGCGTCGGCGGAGCTCGGGGCCGGACTGGACCTGCCGAGGGAGGGGCGGACAGTCCTGACGGTGCGGGGCGGGGCTGGCGGCTGCCCAGGCCTGGCTGAGGCGCCGCGGCCGGGTCCCTCTCCACCTGCCGGGCGGAGCGCACGGGCCATGGGCTGAGCCCCGCTGAGCCCGCCGGGCCGGCCATGGGCGATCGCGAGCGCAACAAGAAGCGGCTGCTGGAGCTGCTGCGGGCGCCGGACACAGGCAACGCGCACTGCGCCGACTGCGGGGCGGCAGGTAAGGGCGCGGCGGCGCGGGCAGCGCGAGACCCCCGGCCGGACCCCAGGCCCACCCGACTCCTCCCCTCGGCCCCACCGGGTCCCGCCCTCGGCCCCCTGGACCCAGACGTGGCACCTGCGGGCCCCGACCCCTCCCACCCACACCGTGAACCTCTCACCCGAGCCCCGAGGGCCGTCTCCACCACACCCTGCCCCGGCCCCTACGAGCCCAGGCTCTGCTCCCCTCGCGGGACCAGATGCGCATCTTCCCACGTGCTTGGACCCGGACACGAGAGCCGGCAGCCTAGAGCCCTTCCAGTCCCGCTCTCTTCCCTGGCCAGGCACCCGACCGCCCGAGTCCGGGCTCTCGATGTCTGCGCACCCAGGCGCGCCCCACGCCCTCGGACTCAGACATCCCAGCCAGGGCTAAACGTCGGGCCCAGGCCGCCGACAGTCCTGTGCCCCCTGCCCGCTCCCAGACGCCCCCCGAAGGCCTCCCCAGCGCCCCACCTCGGGGACGCCGAGGGCCCCCTAACTCAGCCTCCCCACCTGCAGCTCCGCGCCGAGCCCCGCGGTGCGCCCCCCGCGCCCTCCTCTCGGTTCCTTCTGAGTCCCTTCACTTCCACGTCGCGCAGCCTCAGACTCTCTCCCCGGGCCCTGAACTGCCTCCAGGATCTTCACCCCGGTCGCCGCGCAGCGGCCGGTGGGCTAACCAGAAGGTGCCAGGCTGGCCGCTTAGTTCGCCTTAGGTGGGAGAAGGGGCGCCCCACCTGCCCCAGTGCCCCGAGCCCAGCCCTGGTTTCTTCACCGCGCTTTCCGCTCAGCTCCTCTCCTGCCTCATCCCCTGCAGATCCCGACTGGGCCTCTTACAAGCTGGGGATCTTCATCTGTCTCAACTGCTGCGGCGTCCACCGTAACTTCCCTGACATCAGCAGAGTTAAATCTGTGCGACTTGACTTCTGGGACGACAGTATTGTGGAGGTAGAAAGGCATGCCCGTGGAGAGCCATGGAACTGCGGGACTGGAGTAGAGGCAGCGGGCAGGGGGCTCCCATTCTACAGAGGGGGAAACTGAGAACCAGAGAGGGGCAAGTCTAGCTAGAGGAAACACAGCTTATAAGATGGCAGCTTAGACAGAGGCCGAGAGTTCAAATTCTGGCTCTATCATTTGCTTACTTTTTTTTTTTTTTTTTTGAGACGGAGTCTCGCTGTGTTGTCCAGGCTGGAGTGCAGTGGAGCAATCTTGGCTCACTGCAACCGCTGCCTCCCGGGTTCAAGTAATTCTCCTGCCTCAGCTTCTCAAGCAGCTGGGATTACAGGCGCCTGCCACCACACCCGGCTAATTTTTTTGTACTTAGTAGAGACGGGGTTTCACCATGTTGGTCACGCTGGTCTCGAACTCCTGACCTCAGGCGATCCACCACCTCAGCCTCCCAAAGTGCTGGGATTACAGGCCTGAACCATCCTGAACCGCTCCTGGCCATCATTTGCTTACCTATAAGCTGGGAGGCCCTGAGCTAGGTACTTTGACCTAGCTGTGGACCCTCAGTTTCCACATCTGTATTCAAGGGATACCACCACCATTTCTCTTTTTTTCTTTCTTCCTTTTTTTTTTTTTTTTTTTTTTTTGAGACGGAGTTTCACTCTTGTCGCCCAGGCTGGAGTGCAACGGCCAATCTCGGCTCACTGCAACCTCTGCCTCTTGGGTTCAAGCAATTCTCCTGCCTCAGCCTCCTGAGTAGCTGGGATTACAGGCACCCACCACCATGCCCCGCTAATTTTTGTATTAATTTTTAGCAGAGACGGGGTTTTGCCATGTTGGTCAGTCTGGTCTCGAACTCCTGACCTTGGGTAATCCACCCTCCTCGGCCTCCCAAAGTGCTGGGATTACAGGCGTGGGCCACTGTGCCTGGCCACTACCACCAATGTCACAGCACTGTTGTGAAGATGATTGTAGGCTCAGTCCAGACACAAAGAAAGCTGTCAGTTAACAGTTGCTGTTGTACGGGTGTGGTGGCTCACACCTATAATCCCAGCACTTTGGGGGGCTGAGGCTGGTGGATTGCTTGAGCCCAGAAGTTCAAGAGCAGCCTGGGCAACATGGTGAAACCCCGTCTTTACAAAAAATACAAAAATTAGCTGGGTGTGATGGCATGCGCCTGTCGTCCCAGATACTTCGGGGGCTGGGGTGGGAAGATCACCTGAGCCTGTGAGAGTGTGGCTGCAATGAGCTGAGATCGCACCACTGCACTCCAGCCAGGGTGAGAGTGAGACCCTACCTCAAAAAAAAAAAAAAAGTTGCTGTTATCATTAGTGAAGTCTTGGACTGGGGGAAGGGAAATAACCTGATTTGTGGTCTAAAGTCCTCCTTTCCCCCTAGGCAGAAAGAGGACCACTTTGCTCTCCTGCCCTCTGGGGGTGGAGGATACCCTCAGCCTGCATGGTAATTCCATTTTGGTCAGAAAACCTCCAGAGAGCAGGCAGTTCTGCACTGTGCGGGTTGGCTGAGGGTTTCCAGGACTATTGGGGAAGCAGGCTGACATTTACTGAATGCCTACTCTGTGCCAGGTACTGTGCTAGACAGCACCGGACTGGAGGCTTTAGTGTGACCTTACTAAGTGCTGGGTCTTGGGAGAGAACAATGAACAAGATAAGGTCCCTGGCCATACAGAGCTTACATTCTAGTGTGGGAGAAAGGCTGGAAACCAGTAAACCAGCACATAAACCTGAAGGATTTTATTTGCACCTTATAACTCCCATGTTATATTTTCTTTTTTGTTTTTTTTGTTTTTTTTTTTTTTGAGACGGAGTTTCACTCTTGTTGCCCAGGCTGGAGTGCAATGATGCGATCTTGGCTCACTGCAACCTCTGCCTCTGGGGTTCAAGCGATTCTTGTGCCTCAGCCTTCTGAGTAACTAGGATTACAGGCATGCACCACCATGCTCGGCTAATTTTGTATTTTTAGTAGAATTTTTACTAGAGACAGGGTTTCACCCTGTTGGTCAGGCTGGTCTCAAACTCCTGACCTTAGGTGATCCACCCGCCTCGGCCTCCCAAAGTGCTGGGATTACAGGCGTGAGCCACCGTGCCCAGCATTTTTTTTTTTTTTTTTTTTGAGATGCAGTCTCACTCTGTCACCCAGCCTGGAGTGCAGTGAGTGGCACGATCTCGGCTCACTGCAACCTCCACCTCCTGGATTCAAGCGATTCTCCTGCCTCAGTCTCCTGAGTAGCTGGGATTACAGGCGCCCGCCACCATGCCCGGCTAATTTTTTGTATTTTTAGTAGAGATGGGGTTTCGCCATGTTGGCCAGGCTGGTCTTGAACACCTGACCTGAGGTGATCCACCTGCCTTAGCCTCCCAAAGTGCTGGGATTACAGGTGTGAGCTACAGCGCCCAATCCTCTGTTATATTTCCTTCTTCTTCTTCCTCCTCCTCCTCTTCTTCTTCTTCCTTCTTCCTTCTTCTTCTTCTTCTTCTCTTTTCTTTTCTTTTCTTTTCTTTCTTTCTTTTTTTTTTTTGAGACGGAGTCTCACTCACTCTGTTGCCCAGGTTGGAGTGTAGTGGTGTGATCTTGGCTCACTGCAACCTCCTCCTCCTGGGTTCAAGCAATTCTTGTGCCTCAGCCTCCTGAGTAGCTAGGATTACAGGCGTGCACCACCATACCTGGCTAATTTATTTATTTATTTGAGAGAGAGTCTTGCTCTATTGCCTAGGCTTGAGGGCAGTGGCAAAATCTCGGCTCACTGCAACCTCTGCCTCCCGGGTTCAAGCAATTATCCTGCCTCACCTTTCTGTGTCCTGGCTAATTTTTGTATTTTTTTAGTAGAGACAAGGTTTCACCATGTTGGTCAGGCTGGTCTCAAACTGCTGACCTCAAGTGATCCCCAGCCTTGGCCTCCCACAGTGCTGGGATTACAGGTGTGAGCCACTGTGCCTGGCCATTTTCTTCATTTTTACGGGTGAGATTCCAAGGGTCACTCATCAAATAAATGGCAGTCAGGATCTGAATCCTGCTCTGTTGGGATCCAAAGCTGGCGACACAGCCTAGCGGCCCCTGCAGAGGAGAAGAGGAGCAATGCTCCTCTCCTGCAAAGGAGATGCCCAAGCGATGTGAATTGAAAACCTGGTGTTTCTTCCCACTTCTGCCCTCACCCTAGCTATGCCACTGCTGCCAGGGCCACTTTTGGTGCATCAGCCTCTGGGTCTCTTGGGTGCCAAAGGGCCCTACTAATCATCCTGACCTATGCACTCCATGAGGCGAGCACCCACTTCTTCCATCCTCCAGGTACATTTATCTCCTGCAGACTTTCAGGGCTGCTAGGGGTCCTGGCCATCTGTGGAAGGCATGATAGGAAGAATATGAGCTTTGGAGTCAGGTCTGGGTTCAAATCCCAGTTCTCCACTTATAGCTGTGTTTCCTTGAACAAGTAACCTAACCCGTCTGAGCCTCAGTTGACTCATCTGTAAAATGAGTACAGTGATATGAAAATGGCTGAGAGGACCCAGTGAGCTGATGTGTGAGCACTGTGGAGTCCTGTGCCCATATGAGGCATGGTTATATCTGCCCATGATTGTTACAGGCTGGGGCTTCCCAGCAGTATGGATGACCAAGCCCGGTGGGACATCTCCTTCTTGGAGGCAGTTTCTTCTGACTCAGCCTAAGTCAGTGGCCTCATAGTTTCATTTCACGTTTTTTCAAGTTCTAATATTACCTCAGGTTGCTGTTGTCTTGCAGTTTATGATCCACAATGGAAACCTCCGTGTGAAGGCCAAGTTCGAAGCCAGAGTCCCAGCTTTCTACTACATCCCCCAGGCCAACGACTGCCTGTGAGTGGGTGATTCCTTAGGGACTGGGTGAGGGGTCTGTCCTGGTTCCACCTCCTCCCCCTCTCCATCTTTGGTGTCTTCATCTGTGGTGGTCTCTTCTATGGGCCTGGTGCGCAGGTGGATCCAGGAAAGCACTGGATACCATCACAGAGAGCACATGGGAAGACTGGTATAAGCCTCTTTCTGCCTCTGTTGCTTGGGCGTGTCTCTTCCTTTCTCTGGGCCTCAGTTTCCACAGCTCTTAAATGGAGGATTTTTCTGTATGATCTCTATGATTTTTCTCTATGATCTCTGCCTGTGACATTCTTGTAGCTTACAGATGGTGGCTAACTTGATAAGAGGGGGTAAACACTAGTATCTTACTAGACCAAGTGTGTTTCAGCTACTTCCTTTAGAGAAATATGTCTAGAGCTGGCCAGGCACGGTGGCTCAGGCCTGTAATCCCAGCACTTTGGGAAGCCGAAGCGGGCAGATCACGAGGTCAGGGGATCGAGACCATTCTGGCTAACACGGTGAAAGCCTGTCTCTACTAAAAATACAAAAAAAATTTAGCCGGGCGTGGTGGCGGGCACTGGAGTCCCAGCTACTTGGAAGGCTGAGGCAGGAGAAGGGTGTGAACCCGGGAGGCAGAGCTTGCAGTGAGCCAAGATGGCGCCACTGCACTCCAGCCTGGGCAACACAGCGAGACTCCGGCTCAAAAAAAAAAAAAAATAAAAGATAGAAATATGTCTAGGGCTCTGCCACCTAAGCTCGGGCTGGCTCTAAACAACTTGCCTGAGCTGCAGATCCCTAAATACTAACCATAAAAATAAGAATAACAGCCAGGCACAATGGCCAGTGCCTGTAATCCTAGCACTTTGGGAGGCTGAGGTGGGAGGATCGCTTGAAGATAGGAGTTCAATGTCAGCCTGAGCAACATAGCAAGACCCTGTCTCTACAAAAAATAAAATAAAATGAACTTAGCCAGGGCATAGTAGCACGTGCCTGTAGTCTGAGCTACTAGGAAGACTGAAGTGGGTGGATTGCTTGAGCCCAGATTGCAGTGAGCTAGGATCACATGTGTCACTGCACTCTAGTATGAGTGACAGAGTGAGACCTAGCATTAGAAAAAAAAAAAAAGTAGCTACTGGCTGGATGCGGTGGCTCATGCCTGTAGTCCCAGCTACTCAGGAGGCTAAGGCATGAGAATTGTTTGAACCCGGAGGCAGAGGGTGCATTGAGCCAAGATCACGCCACTGCACTCCAGCCTGGGCAACAGAAGGAGACTGTCTCAAAAAAAAAAAAAAAAAAAAAAAGGCCGGATGTGGCGGCTCACACCTGTAATCCTAGCAATTTGGGAGGCCGAGGCGGGCGGATCACTCGAGGCCAGGAGTTCAAGACCAGCCCGGCCAACATAGTGAAACCCCGTCTCTACTAAAAATTAAAAAATTAGCTGGGCATGGTGGTACATGCCTGTAGTCCCAGCTACTCGAGAGGCTGAGGGAGGAGAATCGCTTGAACCCGAGAGGTGGAGGTTGCAGAGATTGCACCACTGCACTCCAGCTTGGGCAACAGAGTGAGACTTTGTCTCAAAAAAAAAATTGCTACTAATATTATTGAGCTTTGCTTAAGTACTACGCCCTGTGCAAAATGCTTATGTGCATGTATTTATTTAATTCTTTCAACAACCCTACAAGTACTGCTACTATCCCTATGCTATAGATGAAAAAACCTGAGGTTTGTGGAGGCAATACTGGTCTAGCCTGTCTGACACCAGGGCCAGGGTGACTGTTTCATGGAATTGGGATAATTTTATATAAGAGGGGGGCTTTGAAGCAGCAGGAGGGTTCAGGTCCCCTGGAGGTGAGGGTTAGTGTGGCACTGGTACCTAGTGGCCCTGGACCTCTGCAGATCTGACTGCCTGAGCCTACGACTCCTTCCCAGGGACTTAGACTCCCCACCAGGGCTGCTAGACAGTATCTTGTGTAAATGGGGAGAAGGAATCCCTTTAGGCTGACCCAGCCTCATAGCGGGTATGTCTGGCAAACAGAAAGCAGCTGCATTTCAGCTGCCGAGCCTCAGCAAGGTGCTTTTGGGCAGTACACAGACTATATAACCATACCTAGTGGTCTTGTAATTTCTCAGTGCTTAGACAATTAAGAGCTAGTAATGTACTCTGGAGTGGCTGGGGAAGCACAGCTTTCTACTTGGAAGACCTCAGTTTTGTTTCCTAGCTCTACTGTGACCTAGCTGGGAGGACGTGGGCAAGTCAGCAAATCTCTCTGATTGTCAACATCCTCATCTCTGAAATGTAGGCAATGATGCCTGCATCATAGCATACTTGTAGAGATTACATGAGATAACTTATGTAGAACCTTTCACATGCCACCCGACACACGGGTTTGAATCCATTTCACTGTGTCTGCTTCAGAATGCTACCTGTCCATGGCCAGCTGTGGGGTGTGCTGACTCGAGAGGGCCTGTCTCATCCTGGCTCGCTGCTGCCACTCTGTCCTTTGCTCCAAGTGCTCAGTGAACACGTGCGCTGTGCTAGGCTTCCTGCCGGCACTAAACAGACATTACCCACCATGACTCCAGCAGCAGCCCTGCACTTTAACCCTTTTTGTCTGAGTACTAATGGCCACCTTCAGGACCAACATGGGTGGCCCTTGGTCTCCATTCCTTCTCCCTGCTCTGATCTTGTGTCCCAGGGTTTCCACCCTCATGGTGGGCCAGGTGATTCTCCTCAGTGATCTGTGGGCTGTGCACTAGGAATGACTCTCTCTCTCTTTTTTCTTTCTTTCTTTTTTAAATATAGAGACAAGGTTTCACTCTGTTGCCCAGGCTAGAGTTCAGTGGCACAATCATGGCTCACTGCAGCCCCAACCTCCTCGGCTCAAGTGATCCTCCCACCTCAGCCTCCCAAGTAGCTGGAACTACAGGTGCATGCCACCATGCCTGGTTAATTTTTGTATTTTTGTTTGTTTTTATTTTTGTAGAGATGAGGTTTCATCATGTTGCCCAGGCTGGTCTCAAACTCCTGAGCTGAGCTCAAGCCATCTGCCTGTGTTGGCCTCCCAAAGTGCTGGGATTACAGGCATGAGTTACCATGCCCAGCCTGGACTCTTGATTGTAAGCGACAGAAACCTTATTTATTTATTTATTTATTTATTTATTTATTTATTTATTTTTGTGACAGAGTCTTGCTCTTTCACCCAGGCTGGAGTGCAGTGGCACAATCTCAGCTGACTGCAACCTCCACCTCCTGGGTTCAAGCGATTCTCCTGTTTCAGCTTCCCAAGTAGCTGGGATTACAGGCACGTGCCACCATGCCCAGCTAATTTTTGTATTTTTGGTAGAGCCGGGGTTTTGCTATGTTGGCCAGGCTGGTCTTGAACTCCTGACCTCAAGTGATCTGCCTGCCTTGGCCTCCCAAAGTGCTAGGATTACAAGTGTGAGCCACTGCGCCTGGCCAGAAGCCCAGTTTAAACCAGCATTAAAAAAAGAGGATTTTATGGGTTCTGGGGATCAGACTACCTGAAGGACAGTGGTGGAGCTGGCCTCAGGAAGGACCAAGCCAGGAGCTCACACACCATCAGGTCTCTCATACTCTCTCTGGCTCTCTTTCCTCTTTCTCTCAGACAGGCTTCCTTCACACAGCTGGCAGCAAGGCCACAAGCAGGTGCCAGGCTATACCTTCCAGCGTGACTCTGGAGAAAGCTCCATCAATCTCTCCTTCACTTTTGACCCTCTCAGTCCACACAGCCCAGAGCAGCAAAGAGCTCTGAATGACCAGGTTGGGCCAGATGCCCAGCTCTAGGTCATTCCTGTGGCTATGGGGTAAGGTCATATATACCTTGGAACACTTCCCTGGAAAAGGTGAGCAGGAACCAAACAATTAAAATAACTCCACTCTCGGCTGCATGGTTTTTCTGCAGGACTCACGGATGACAATCTCTGATTGAGATCACATTAAACACCTACTATGTGCTGAGTAGGTGCTAGGCCCTTTATATACATTTAAACCTCTCAACAACCCTGAGGGCTAAGTGAGTATAACAATAGAGGTCTATTCCCCAAATTCAGAGGAGTTGGGTAACTTGCTCATGGTCACACAGTGGATAAATGATAGAGTGAGACCAGGTCCCAGGTGGTCAGATCCTAAGACGACTGCTTTGTCCAGTGTAGCCTGCCCAGACTTCATGGGCAGGTACAGGAAGAGGCTCCTGGACTCTCCTGCCTAAGCTCATGAACACACAGTGGGAGCAGGTGGTGTAGATGGTCCAGAGGAGCCAGTATCTGTCTCATTGACCTAGAGAGCTGATACTGGGATTGGAACAACTCGGTGGTTCTCATATAGCCCACTGGGAGAAATATTTCCCCCAGAGGACATTTGGCAATGCCTGAAGACATTTTTGGGTGCCACAACTGGGGAGGGGGTGCTACTGGCATCTAATGGGTAGAGGCCAGAAATGCTGCTAAACATTCTGTGGAGCATGGGACAACCCATAAGACAACAGAACAAGGAATTATCCAACCCCGAATGTTAACAGTACTGAGGCTGAGGAATCCTAGGTAGCTGGAGCAGGCAGTGAGGCACTGCTGTGATGTTCCCACCCTCAACTGCAGGGTCTTGGAAAAGAATGCATCAGTCCAGGCATGGTGGTAATCCCAGCACTTTGGGAGGCTGAGGCAGGAGGATCGCTTGAGCCCTGGAGTTCAAGACCAGCTTAGGCAACATAGGGAGACCCCCATCTCTACAAAAATTTAAAAATTAGCCAGGTGTGGTGGTGCCTGCCTGTGATCCCAGCTACTTAAGAGGCTGAGATGGGAGGATCGCCTGGGCCTAGGAGGTCTAGGCTGCAGTGAGCCGTGATCACGTGATCACACCACTGCACTCCAGCCTGGGCAACAGAGGGAGACCCTGTCTCAAAAAAAAAAAAAAAAGAGAATGCATCAAACGCAGCTGACCTCAGGCTCTCTCTTTTTAGGGTCTTAAAGGAACAATGGATTCGAGCTAAGTATGAGAGACGGGAATTTATGGCTGATGGGGAAACCATCTCGCTCCCAGGTAAAGTTATTTCCATCACCTTTTGAAATCTATGTTTTAATGAGCTCTAGAAAAACCAAGTGCCTAAATATTAGGAGCAAGATCCATCCAAGAGATGCCTGCTGTTCTCACTGTGGCCGCAGAGGCCAAGGTGTGGGTTCTTCTGACTTTGAAATAACAACACATCAGCTGGTGGGGCTTTATGCTCTGAGCAGCAGAGAAGCTCAGAGCTTCTATGGTCTTTGTCTCAGGTCTTTGCAGGGTCACAAGTGTGTACAGACTCTTTTTTTTTTTTTTTTTTTTGAGACAGGGTCTTACTCTGTTGTCCAGCCTGGAGTGCAGTGGCACTATCACAGCTCACTGCAGCTTCAATCTCCCGGGCTCACATGATCCTCCCACCTCAGCCTCCCAACTAGCTGGGACTACAGGCACATGCCACCATACCTGGCTAATTTTAGTGGCTTTTATTTTTTTATTTTTATTTTTTGTAGAGATGGGGTTTCACCATGTTGCCCAGGCTGGTCTTGAACTCCTGAACTCAAGTGATCCTTTCGCTTTGGCCTCCCAAAGTGCTGAGATTACAGGCATGAGCCACTGTGCCCAGCCAGACTCTTTTTCTTTTTCTTCTTCTTCTTTTTTTTTTTTTTGAGACAGAGTCTTGCTCTTGTTGCCCAGGGTGGAGTGCAGTAGCATGATCTCAGCTCAGTGCAGCCTCTGCCTCCTGGGTTCCAGCGATTCTCCTGCCTCAGCCTCCTGAGTAGCTGGGATTACAGCATCATGCTTGGCTAATTTTTGTATTTTTAGTAAAGACGGGGTTTTACCATGTTGGCCAGGCTGGTCTCGAACTCCTGACCTCATGATCTGCCCACCTTAGCCTCCCAAAGTTCTGGGACTACAGGCATGAGCCACCGCGCCCAGCATCAAACACTTAATGTAAATTGCAGAAAGACTCCTCCACTGGACAGACCAATTAGGAAAAGATATCCCTGCTCCTGGTGAGCTTTATTCCTGGTGCAGCTCAAGACTTGGTGAGGAGGATGGGCTTAAATTCAGCCTCCCTTTCGACCATTGTGCAGGGTACAACCTCTTCTGTGGCCCTGGACCTGTGGCAGTTTCACCCCCACGGTCCTGAGTCCAAGCTGACTCTGACCCAGACAGTAAAGTATAAAAAATCATTCTTAGAGGGCCAGAGGCAGTGCTCAGCTATCCTGGCTACCAGGACCACAAATTATTCTATTTATTTATGTATTTATTTATTGAGTCAGGGTCTCACTCTGTTACCCAGGCTGGAGTGCAATGGCGTGAACTCGGCTCACTGCAACTTCCACATCCCAGGTTCAAGTGATTCTCATGCCTCAGTCTCCCGAGTAGCTGGGATTACAGGCATGCACAACCACACCTGGCTAATGTTTATATTTTTAGGAGAGTCAGGGTTTTGCCATGTTGGCCAGGCTGATCTCAAACTCCTGACTTCAAGTGATCTGTCTGCCTTGGCTTCCCAAGGTGTCAAGATTACAGGTGTGAGCCATTGCACCCAGCCCATAAATTATTCTTCAAACCAGCAGATGCCCGGAGGGAGTCTCACTGTGTCACCCAGGCTGGAGTGCAGTGGCACAATCTCGGCTCGCTGCAACCTCCCCCTCCCGGGTTCAAGTGATTCTCCTGTCTCAGCCTCCTGAGTAGCTGGGATTACAGGCACGCGCCACCATGCCCAGCTAATTTTTGTATTTTTAGTAGAGACGGGGTTTCACCATGTTGGTCAGGCTGGTCTTGAACTCCCGACCTTGTGATCTGCCCGCCTCGGCCTCCCAAAGTGCTGGGATTACAGGCGTGAGCCACTGCGCCCTGCCTTACTTCTAAAGTTTCATTAGGTTGATGTCAGCATGAAGTTGGGCAGGACCATATGTATTTAGTATGTATTTAAGTGTCTTTCAGAATCAGTCCAGTTTCTCAGGACTTTGCCTTCTTAAGGGTCTTCTTATGAGACAGCCTGATACACAGAAAGTCAAGGAAGAAAGGTTTTAGGCAGTGGGAAGTGCCCCTGAAGTGAAAAGACATCACAAAGTTGGCCACAGATGGGATCCTTGTGTTCTGCAGCTGAAATAGGGAAGTCTGAGTGGAGATACTTTGGCAGCAGATGGAAGGCTTATTCCACCCTTGAGAACCTCAGAGGTTCCTGAGCTGCTTGTGATCTTAAGGTCACGTGTGTTCACGCTTTGTCATCCTTGCTGCTTAAGGTAACCGAGAAGGATTCCTGTGGAAGCGAGGAAGGGACAACTCACAGTTTCTGAGAAGGAAGTTTGTACTTCTGGCAAGAGAAGGCCTCCTGAAGTACTTCACAAAGGAACAGGTAAGATGCCAGACCAATGAGAGCAGGTCCCTTCCTGAGCACTCTCACCCGACTAAGGTCTACATTCTAATCAGTGGTGCCCTTTTCTTGTAGATAATCTCAGCCCCTGAGAGTTAGGCACAACATTTGGCTACTTTTCCTTGGCTATACAGTAAATCCAGTCCACCAAAAATCATACTTTCTGTCCACCTAGAATCAGCTTAGATAGGTCCATGTTTAAGCCTTTGATGACCACTTGGTTTTGCTTCATTTATTCATTCACTTAAGAAACATTTATTGAGTACCTACTGTGTGCTAGACATTATTCCAGGCACTGAGGATACAGCAGGGAACTAAACAAAACTCTTGTTCTCAGGGAGCTTTCAGTCTAGTGAAAGGAAAGAGCTCCGTAATCAAAACATCAATATATAATATACCAGGAGGCAATAGTTTTATAAAGTAAAATAGAAGTGGCTGCGCACAGTAGCTCACACCTATAATCCCAGCACTTTAGTAAGAGATTGAGGCAGGGGGATTGCTTGAGTTCAGAAGTTTGAGATCAGCCTGGGCAACATGGTGAAGCCCCATCTCTACAAAAAATACAAAAATTAGCTGGGTCAAGCACATACACCTTTGTATGGTGGCACATGCCTGTAGTCCCAGCTACTAGGGAGTCTGAGGTGGGAGAACTGCTTGAGCATGGGAGGTCGAGGCTGCATTGAGCCGAGATTGTGCCACTGTACTCTAGCATGGGTGACAGAGTGAGACCCTGTCTCAAAAAACAAAACAAAACAAAAACAAAAACAAAAACCGGGCATGGTGGCTCATGCCTGTAATCCCAGCACTTTGGGAGGCCAAGGCAGGTGGATCACTTGAGGTCGGGAGTTTGAGACCAGCCTGACCAACATGGAGAAACCCCATCTCTACTAAAAAAATATAAAATTAGCTGGGCGTGGTGGTGCATGCCTGTAATCCCAGCTACTCGGGAGACTGAGGCAGGAGTATCACTTGAACCTGGGAGGTGGAGGTTGTGGTGAGCTGAGATCGTGCCATTGCACTCCAGCCTGGGCAACAAGAGTGAAACTCCGTCTCAAGAAAAAAAGAAGTAAAATAGCGGAGAGTGAGAAGATAGACAACAATGAGAGTGTGTTAGGGAGTCAGGGAGTGCTGCTGCAGAGTGATCAGGGAAGGCCTCTCTGGTGACATTTGAGCAGATAACTGAACAAATGTGAGCACTGAGTTACATGGCTATGTGGGGGGAAGAATAGAAGAAAGGGGAGGAACAGTATGTGCAGAAGCCCTGAGCACAGGTATGGTCAAACACATACACCTTTGTACCGATTTGAGAAAGATGATCCCTTTAAGAGGGTGCAGCCCCTGGGCCCCAGTCTCGAAAATCAGAAGCCTGGTTTGCAGTTACCAGTCAGCTAGGAGCTTTTTATGCAGTGCACAAACGACTTAACCATAAGCTGCAACCCTGGCCCTGAGCTAGAAGTGTGTTTGGTGGGTGTAGGGCATCAAGGAGGGCAGAGCGACTTGTGCAGAGTGAGCAAGGAAAAGTGTGGAGGGAGATGAAGTCACATGGTGGAGGGCCTTGTAGGTCATAGCAAGACTTGGGATTTCTTTTGGTAACAGTTTATTGAGATACAATTCACATACCATATAATTCACCCATTAAAAGTATGCAGTCAATTGGCTTTTAGTGTATTCACAGAGTAGCACAACTATCACCACAATTCAGTTAAAAACTTTAAACACCTTATCCCTTAGCTGTAATCCCCCACCCCACCCCACCACTAGCCCTAGGCAACCAACAACTTACTTTCTGTCTCTATGGATTTGCCTAATCTGGTTATTTTTATTTTATTTTACTATTTTATCTTATTTATTTTTTTAGAGACAGAGTCTTCCTCTGTTGGCCAGGCTGGAGTGCAGTGGTGCAATCATAGCTCACTGCAACCTTAAATTACTGGCCTCAAGCACTCCTCCTGCTCCGGTCTCTCAAAGCACTGGGATTGCAGATGCATACCACTCCACCCAGCTAATTTTTATTTACTTATTTATTTTTGTAGAGATAGGGTTTTGCTTTGTTGTCTACGCTGTTCTCAAACTCCTGGCTTCAAGCAATCCTCTGCCTCAGCCTCCCAAAGTACTAGGATTATAGATGTGAGCCACTACGCCAGGCCCATATCTGTCTTTTTTATAATAGCCGTCTTCATGGGTATGAAGTCGTATCTCATTGTGGTTTTGATTGGCGTTTCCCACATGGCAAATGATGTTGAGCATCTTTTTAATGTGCTTATTGGCCATTTGTATATCTTATTTGTAGAAATGTCTATTCAGATCCTTTCCCATATTGGCCGGGCGCGGTGGCTCACGCCTGTAATCCCAGCACTTTGGGAGGCCGAGGTGGGCAGATCAGGAGTTCAGGAGATGGAGACCATCTTGGCTAACACAGATACTTTCCCCATATTTTAATTAGGTTATTTGTCTTTTTATTATTAAGTTGTAATAGTTCTGTATATATTCTAGATACAAGTCACTTATACATGTAGGATTTGCAAAAATTTGAGCTTTTGGATTTTACTGAGTGAGATGGGAAGAAATTGGAGGATTTTGAGCTGAGAAGTGATATTATTTGACTTAAGTTTTTGATTGATTGATTGATTTGAGATGGAGGCTCACTCTGTCACCTAGGCTGGAGTGCAGTGGCGTGATCTCGGCTCACTGCAACCTCTGCCTCCCAGGTTCAAGCAATTCTTTGCCTCAGTCTCTCGAGTAGCTGGGATTACAGGCGCGCACCACCATGCCTGGCTAGTTTTTGTATTTTTAGTAGACAGGGTTCCACCATCTTGGCCAGGCTGGTCTTGAATTTCCGACCTCGTGATCCACCCACCTCACCCTCCCAAAGTGCTGGGATTACAGGCGTGAGCCACCGCGCCCGGCCTATTTATTTATTTTTTGAGATGGGATTTCACTCTATTGCTCAGGTTGAAGTGCAATGGTGTGATCTCGGCTCACTGCAACCTCCACCTCCCGGGTTCAAGTGATTCCCCTGCCTCAGCCTCCCCAGTAGCTGGGACTACAGGCGTGCACCACCACACCCGGCTAATTTTTGTATTTTTAGTAGAGACAGGGTTTCACCATGTTGACCAGGCTGATTTAGAACTCCTAACCTCATGTGATCTGCCCACCTCAGCCTCCCAAAATGCTGGGATTATAGGCATGAGCCACTGCGCCCAGCCTGACTTAAGCTTTTAAAAAGCAGCACGCTGGCTGCTGCTAGGGTGAGTAGGGAGGAAGGAGGCCAGAGCAGAGGCAGAGAAATTAGTCAGGAAGCTGTTGCAATAACCCAAGTGAAGAAGAATGGTGGATCCGACCAGGATGGTTAGAAGTGGTCAGATTCTGGATATATTTTGGAAGTAGAGGCAATAGAATTTATTGAAGGATTGGATGTGGGGTGTGAGAGTAAGAGGAATCAAGGATGATTCCCAGATTTTTGCTCTATAAAACTACAAGAATAGATTTGCTATTTACTAAGGTGGCAAAGACTTAGACCCCTAAGGGGATGCTCAAAAGTCCTTTTTATTTTGAGATGCCTATGAGTCATCCAGTAGAGACATGGGGAAAGAAGTTGGATGTATGTTTCCTGAATTCTAAACCCAAGTGGCAGAAGTTGGATGTCTGATTTGGAGGCTTGGAGAGAGTTTGGAACTGGAGTCGTCAGCATGTAGACTGGTTTAGTAATGGGACTGGCTAGGATCACCTAAGCAGGAAAAAGGTGTTCAAGGACTGAGTATTTTGGTTATGTGTTGCTGAGTAACAAACCATCCTAAAACTTAATGGCTTAAAATATCAATTTACTATTTCTCACAATCCTATGGGTCAGGAATTTGAGGAGGCCTCGGCTGTTCTGGTGTACTCCATGTGGCATCAGCTGGGCTACTCTGCTGCCCTTAGCTGGCCAGAGACCCAAAGAAGCTTTCACTCATGTCTGGTGCCTTGGTGTACTCTATATGGGGGCTCTGTCTTTCTCATTCAGGAGTCTAGCTTAAGCTTTCTTGTGGCTTGGCTGCTGACTTCCCTAAACAAAAGCAAATGCTACCAGACCTCTGGAAGGCTAACCAGGAGCTGCATTCTGTTGGTCAAAGCAAGTCATGCAACAAGCCCTGATTCAAGGGGAGGGGAAATAGATTCAACCTCTTCATGGATAGAGGGTCACGTATACACTGGGAGGGAAAGACTGGGTGAGCGCCATCTTTGGAGACCATCTACCCCATTGAGCCCTGGGGCATTCCAGTATTTAAAGGACAGAAAGATAAGAAGTTTTCAGCAAAGAGAATGTGAAATTGTGGCCAACAAAGTAAGAGAAGGATAAGCTCTGAGCACTTTAGCCTTCACCTTACTCTATTTCCTATATGTAGAATTATTATATATTCCCCCTGTTGCTTTTCTAGGCAGACCAGAGCAATGCTAAAAGGTCTGTCTATGGGGAGGAGAAGGGAGGATGAAGAGAAGTGGGTTAAAGGGTACAAACATTGTAAGATGCAAGGAATAAATTCAATATTTGATACCAGAGTGGGGTAACTATGCTTAACAAAAATACTCTGGTGACCAACACCCTAAATATCCTGGCTTGATCACTACACATTATATACATGTAGCGAAATTTCACATGTACCCCATAAATTTGTATAAATAATAATATAAAAGGTCTGTCCAATGTGGCCACAGTCTGGGACCAAGTAAAAAGTGTTAAGGGATGAAGAATCTTTACCCTCCAAGTTAGAGGAAGAATTTTTTCCCAGTCTTCAATGTAAAGCACTGAAAAATGTGGCTTTTTCAACATTTTTGCTGAAATGGTACAAAAGGCCGGAAGAGAAAGCGCTACTGCAGTTAGGAAAGGTCACCAAACCCCAGCAGCTGCTGCGAGTTGGTCTCTCGGACAGGGCCTCATCATTGGTTGAAAAAAGTTGATCTGTTTTTCAGTCCTACGCCAGTTCAGTCTAGAATAGTCCAAAAATAGAATGGGCTCCCTATGTTCTTTTTTATTTATTTCCCAAAGTGGATATTTTAAAATCATAAAGGTAACTAATTTTTAGGTAAAACTTTTGGGTAATACAAAAAAGGAAATGAAGTATAAAGAAAGTGAAACTGAAAAAAAAAAAAAAAAGCCCCAAGCTCTATACAAAGCACTTCAAAAAGTTCTTGGAGGCCAGGCTCGGAGGCTCACACCTGAAATCCCAGCACTTTGGGAGGCCGAGGCAGGCAGATCACGAGGTCAGGAGATTGAGACCATCTTGGCTAACACGGTGAAATCCCGTCTCTACTAAAAATACAAAAACTTAGCTGGGCGTGGTGGCAGGCGCCTGTAGTCGCAGATACTCAGGAGGCTGAGGCAGGAGAATGGCCCGAACCTGGGAGGCGGAGCTTGCAGTGAGCCGAGATGGCGCCACTGCACTCCAGCCTGGGCGAAAGAGCAAAATTCCATTTCCAAAAAAAAAAAAAAAAAAGGTATTGGACAAATGAGATTAAAATTAAAGATATAAACTTTATTTCTCAACATAAGCTCCATCAAGGTCAAGACACTTTTATAAGTGATGACACCAGCCATTTAGTCCATCCCCTAGCAATTGAGGGTCCTGGGAATTTAACCATGCCAATGCAGTCTTTTTTACATTTTGTTTTTTTATGCTGTTTTCTGAGACAGGGTCTTGCTCTTTCACCAAGGCTGGAGTACAGTGGTGCAATTCTAGCTCACTGCAGCCACAACCTCCCAGGCTCAAGCGCTCCTTCCACCTCAGCCTCCCGAGTAGCTGAGACTTCAGGCACACACCACCATGCCTGGCTAATTTTTGTATTTTTTGGCAACGACAGGATTTCATCATGTTGCCCAGGTTGGTCTTGAACTCCTGAACTCAACCGATCTACCAGCCTCAGTCTCCCAAAGTGCTAGGATAACAGACATAAGTCACCACGCCTGGCCTTTTTTTTTACACTATTAACTGAAGAAAGATGGGTACCCTTTACAGATTTTTTTTTTTTCGAGATGGAGTCTCGCTTCATCGCCCAGGCTGGAGTACAGTGGCACGATCTCGGCTCACTGCAACCTTCGCCTCCCAGGTTCAAGTGATTGTCCTGCCTCAGCCTCCCCAGGAGCTGGGATTACAGGCGTTGGCCACCATGCTGGGCTAATTTTTGTATTTTTAGTAGAGACGGGGTTTCACCATGTTGGCCAGGCTGGTCTCGAACTCCTGACCTCAAGTGATTCGCCCGCCTTGGTCTCTGAAAGTGCTGGGATTACAGGCGTGAGCCACCATGCCCGGCCTCCTTTACAGATTTTTTAAGATTAGAAAACAAAAAGAAGTTAGAAGGAGCCGAATTTGGACTGTAAGATGATGCATAATCACTTCCCATTGAAACTCTCACAAAATTGCCCTTGTTTGATGAGAGAAATGTAGTTGAAGCATTGTCCTGGGGGAGAAGGACTCTCTGGTGAAGTTTTCTCAGATGTTTTTCTGCTGAAGCTTTGGCTAACTTTCTCAAAACACTCTCATAATGAGCAGATGTTATTGTTCTTTGGCCCTCTAGAAAGTCAACAAGCAAAATACCTTGAGCATCTCCCAGAAAACTTTACCATGGCCTTTGTTCTTGACTGGTCTGCTTTTGCTATGACAGGACCACTTCAACCTCTCGGTAGCCATTGCTTTGATTATGCTTTGTCTTCAGGATCATACTGGTAAAGCCATGTTTCATCTCCTGTTACAGTTCTTCAAAGAACTGCCTCAGGATCTTGATCTCACTTGTTTAAAATTTCCATTGAAAGCTCTGCTCTTGTCTGCAACTGATCTGGGTGCAATGGCATTGGTACCCATTGAGTGGAAAGTTTGCCCAGCTTTAATTTTTCAGTCAGATTTGTGTGAGCTGCACCAATTGAGGTATCTGTGGTGTTAGCTATTGTTTGTGCTGTTAATTATTGCTTCTCTTCAATTAGGGCATGAACAAGATGATTTTTTTCATTGTAAATTGATGTAGATGGTCTGCTGCTGCAGGCGCCATCTTCAACATCATCTTGTCCCTCCTTAACAAGTTATCCATTTGTAAACTGCTAATTTTGTTGGGGATTTGTCCCCGTAAACTTTTCTGAAAGCACCAGTGATTTCACCATTCTTCCATCCAAGCTTCACCATAAATGTTGATGTTTGTTCTTGCTTCAATTTTAGCAGAATTCATGTTGCTCTGAGAGGGGCTGTTTTCAAGTTGATGTCGTATCCTTCTTAGTGCCTCAAACAAAATCCCACTCAGACATGTTATAACAAGTTAGTATGAGTTTATTTTGGTGCAAAACAATTTGAAATCCATGCATAGCTTTTTCATACTATGTGTTTTCCATGAACTTTTCTAAGTCACCTTGTATAAGAGTATTATATGATCTCATTTATATGAAATTTTAGAACAGGCAAAACTGTACTGATAGAAGACAAATAAGTGGTTATCTGGTGTTGGAATGGGGTAGAGATTCTGCGAAGGGGGATGAGTGAAGTCTTTTGGGGTGACATTTAGGATGATAAGTAATGTTTTATATCTTGATTGTTGTGGTTACATGGGTATATACATTTGTCAAAAATCAAACTATTTTTTTTTTTTCGAGATGGAGTCTTGCTCTGTCACCAGGCTGGAGTGCAGTGGTGCGATCTTGGCTCACTGCAGCCTCCGCCTCCTGGGGTCAAGCGATTCTCCTTCCTCACCCTCACTAGTAGCTGGGACTACAGGTGTGTACCACCACTCCCAGCTAATTTTTGTATTTTTAGTAGAGACAGGATTTCACCATGTTGGCCAGGATGGTCTCGATCTCTCAACCTCGTGATCCACCTGCCTCGGCCTCCCAAAGTGCTGGGATAACAGGTGTGAGCCACAGTGCCCGGCCCAAACTTAATACGGGTACACTTTATTGTTTCTAAACTACACCTCAATAAATGTTGATTAAGTGAAAATTAACAATGAGATACAATTCCATACCCATCATATTGGCAAAAATTTTGTAATCTGGTAGTGTCAAGTGTTGGTGAGTATATGGGGAAAGGGGAACTATTCTATTTCATTGATGGAAGTAAATATTGGTACAATCACTGTTGAGCCATTCAGCAGAATAATTTGGCAGTCTCTAGTAAGTGAAGATGTATATAACTGTGATCCAGCAATTCCATTTCTAAGCATACGCTGTGACCTACAGATGCACTCACATATGTGTACCAGATGCACAAACTGACTGCAACATTACTTATGATAGCAAAAAATCAGGAACAATCTCAATATATATATCGGAACAATCTATTAACAGAAAATAGATTGATAACTTTTGGTATAGTCATTTACAAGAGCAAACTAGACTGGTGTATCTCAGCATGGGTAGACCTCAAAAATATAATGTTGAAAGCAAAAAGAACCTCATTAAAATGGGCAAAAGATGTGTACAGACACTTCTCAAAGAAGACATACACGTGGCCAACAAGCAAATGAAAAAATGCTCAACATCACTAATCAGAGAAATGTAAGTCAAAACCACAATGAGATACCATCTATACCAGTCAGAATGACTGTTATCAAAAAGTAAAAAAGTAACAGATACTGGTGAGGTTGTGGAGAAAAGGGAATGTTTACACACTTGTGGCAGGAATGTAAATTAGTTCAGCCACGGTAGAAAGCAGTTTGGAGATTTCTCAAAGAACTTAAAACAGAACTAACATTTGACCCAGCAATCCCATTACTGGGTATATACCCAAAGCAATAGAAATAATTCTACTATAGGCCGGATGCAGTGGCTCACGCCTGTAATCCCAGCACTTTGGAAGGCAGAGGCCGGCGGATCACCTGAGGTCGGGAGTTCGAGATCAGCCTGACCAACATGGAGAAACCCTGTCTCTACTAAAAATACAAAATTAGCCAGGCGTGGTGGCGTATCCCTGTAATCCCAGCAACTTGGGAGGCTGAGGCAGAAGAATCGCTTGAACCCAGGAGGTGGAGGTTGCAGTGAGCTGAGATCACTCCATTGTACTCCAGCCTGGGCAACAAGAGTGAAACTCAGTCTGAAAAAAAAAAAGGAAAGAAAGAAAAGAAAAAAGAAAGAATTCTACTGTAAAGACACATGTACATGTATTTTCATCGCAGCACTATTTACAATAGCAAAAACATGGAATCGGCCCAGATGCCCATCAATGGTGGACTGGATAATGGAAATGTGGTACATAAACATCATAGAATACTACACAGCCATAAAAAAGAATGAGATTGGCTGGGCACAGTGGCTCATGCTTGTAATCCCAGAACTTTGGGAGGCCGAGGCAGGTGGATCACGAGGTCAGGAGTTCAAGAACAGCCTGACCAACATGGTCAAACCCCATCTCTACTAAAAATACAAAAATTAGCCAGGCATGGCGGCACGTGTCTGTAATCCCAGCTACTCAGGAGGCTGAGGCAGGAGAATGGTTAGAATCTGGGAGGCAGAGGTTGCAGTGACCTCAGATCACGCCATTGCACTTCAGCCTGGACAACAGAGCAAGACTCTATCTCAAAAATAAATAAATAAATAAATAAATAAATAAATAAATAAATAAATAAATAAGAACCAGATTGGCCGGGGGCGGTGGCTCATGCCTGTAATCCCAGCACTTTGGGAGGCCGAGGCGGGCAGATCACCTGAGGTCAGGAGTTTGAGACCAGCCCGGCTAACATGGTGAAACCCCGTTTCTACTAAAAATACAAAAAATTAGCTGGGTGTGGTGGCACACGTCTGTAATCCCAGCTACTCGAGAGGCTGAGGCAGGAGAATCGCTTGAACCTGGGAGGCGGAGTTTGCAGTGAGCCGAGATCACGCCGTTGCACTCCAGCTGGGCAGCAAGAGCAAAACAAAACAAAAATAAAAACAAAGAAAAGAATGAGATCATGTTCTCTCAGCAACGTGGATTGATCTGGAGAACATTATCTTAAGTAACTAACAAAGGAACAGAAAACCAAATGTTCTAACATATAAATGGAAGCTAAACATTGAGTACACATGGACACAAAGAAGGGAACGATAGGCTGGGCTCAGTGGCTCATGCCTATAATCCCAGCACTTTGGTAGGCCAAGGCAGGTGGATCACCTGAGGTCAGGAGTTCATGAGCAGCCTGGCCAACATAGCGAAACTCTGTCTCTACTTAAAAATACAAAAATTAGCCAGGTGTGGTGGCTAGAGTGCAGTGGCACGATCTCAGCTCACTGCAACCTCCACCTCCCAGGTTCAAACCACTCTCCTGCCTCAGTCTTCCGAGTTGTTGGGATTACAGGTGTCTACCACCACGCCCAGCTAATTTTTGTATTTTTAGTAGAGACGGGGTTTTACCAAGTTGGCCAGGCTGGTTTCAAACTCCTGACCATAGGTGATCCACCCACCTCAGCCTCCCAAAGTGCTGGGATTACAGGCGTAAGCCACTGCGTCCGGCCAGTATCTGAATTTCGATATGAGAGCAAGAACATTTAAAACCCATATATTTACAGATTGATGCTTGTTTGCATGAAGGCCTTGGTGAAGGTTGACCAGAAGTCACCCTGTGGACTGTCAGCGTCTTTCTTTCTCTTTCTCTCTTTCAGGGTAAAAGCCCCAAAGCTGTCATCAGCATTAAGGACTTGAATGCCACCTTCCAGACAGAGAAGATAGGGCACCCCCATGGGCTGCAGATCACCTACAGGAGAGATGGCCACACCAGGAACCTGTTTGTGTATCATGAAAGTGGGAAGGTGAGATGCCTGGAGTTGCCACCTCCGCCTCCAGCTCGCACCCCAGGACTTGGCAGGTGCAGCTCACCACCTCCCCTGCTCACTGGTGCTGTGCTCAGCTGCCTCTTGAGATTTTCTGCTACCATTTGCCTTAATCTATCATTGCCTCCCAGTCTGAGATAAAGATATGAGGAGGGCAGGGTGAGATCAGGGAGAGGAACCTGGCAAGTACCATGGCTATATCTGGACAGTGCACAGCCACCAATGAAAGTCCAGTTACAGAAGGGACTATGCCCAGGGATGCAAAGCCAGGTAGGGCCAGAGGTTCTGAATACGGGGGAGGAACTGATGGACAGTCAGGCAGCAGTGCACCCCGGGACCCTGCTTCTCAACATGTGGTCCTGGCCCAACAGCATTGGCATCACCCAGGAGCTCAAGGCTGAGCATGGTAGCTCCTGCCTGTAATCCCAGAACTTTGGGAAGCCAAGGCAGGTGGATCACTTGAACCCAGGAGTTCGAGACCAGCCTGGTAGCATAGTAAGACCCCCATCTTTACCCAAAAATACCTCCAAAATTAGCTAAGCATGGTGGCATGCACCTGTAGTCCCAACTACTTGGGAGGCTGAGGTGAGAGGATCGCTTGAGCCTGGGAGGTCGAGGCTGCAGTGAGCCATGATCATGCCACTGCACTCCAAGCCTGGGTGACAGAGCAGGACCCTGTCTCAAAAAACAAAACAAAACAAAACAAACCAGAAAGAAAGAAAGAAAAATAGAGTCTGAGGCCCACCCTGGAGCTACCAAATTAGAAACTGCATTAAAAAAAAAAAAAAAAAAGAAGAGGCCGGGCGCGGTGGCTCACGCCTGTAATCCCAGCACTTTGGGAGGCCGAGGCAGGCGGATCACGAGGTCAGGAGATCGAGACCATGCTGTCTAACACGGTGAAACCCCGTCTCTACTAAAAATACAAAAAAAATTGGCCGGGCATGGTGGCAGGTGCCTGTAGTCCCAGCTACTCAGGAGGCGGAGGCAGGAGAATGGCGTGAACCCAGGAGGCAGAGCTTGCAGTGAGCCGAGATGGCGCCACTGCACTCCAGCCTGGGTGACAGAGTAAGACTCCACCTCAAAAAAACAAAAAAAACAAAAAAACTGCATTGTAACGGGATCCCAGGTGAGTCTTGTGCACATTAAAGTTTGAGAAGCACTATTTTTTTTCCTTTGGAGATGGAATCTTGCTCTATTGCCCAGACTGGAGTGCAGTGGCGTGATCTCGGCTCACTGCAACCTCCACCTTCAGGGTTCAAGCGATCCTCTTGCCTCAGCCTCCCGAGTGGCTGAGATCACACCCAGCTAATTTTTTTGTATTTTTAGTAGACACAGAGTTTCACTATGTTGGCCAGGCTGGTCTTGAATTCCTGACCTCAAGTGATCTGCCCACCTTGGCCTCCCAAAGTGCTGGGATTACAGGGGTGAGCTACTGCGCCCGGCTGAGAAGCACTATTTAATAGTCCAGGAAATCTGCCCAGTCAGAGATGAATAAGCCAATATAACAGAATAAGCTGGGTCAGGTCCTGAGCAGGGTCACATAACTAGGCAGGGGACAGAGATGCTGAGTGGGGGTGGATGAAGGTGGGTGCTGACATTTTGTGACCATCTATTAACTCCCCTGGGCACTGCTTTTGGTGATTGCTGTCCATCATTTCTTAATCCTGAAAACAAGCCCCACATTATTGAGTCACGGACATGTTAGTAACTTGCTCAGGGTCACAGCCCTGCACCCACTTTACCTGCCATGTGCCTCTGCTGTAGGAAGGACACTTGGCAGCAGGAGCCAGGAACCAGATGCAGGGACTAGACCTTCCTAAGGGGCCCCTAGCACCATGGCCCTAGCCCCCTCTCCATGCCAATCACTGCCATAAGGACTTTTACTGAGGCACCCAAGGTCTCTGGCACTTAGGATACCCAGCTCCCTCCTATCTGCCCAGTATGGTGCATCTGACAACCTGGGTCTGGCCATTCTTCTCTTTTGCTTGATGCCCCAGCCTGTCTGTTAGATGGGCATAAATGAGGGCTCCAGATTCCTGCCTGCAGGAGTCAGGGGGTGATTTAAAAGCTAAATGGACAGGCATAAGGGATGGGGAGGGGGCTGTGGCAAACAGGAAAACCTGCATGGAGGATTGAAACAAACAAAACTTTAGGAGCAAACAGACATGTATGCAGGTTGGATTTGGCACCAGGATCACCAGATTATGACTGGAGAGACCTTCCAAGGTGAAGGCCTAGGTGTGTCTTTTCTGGACTGGCCCCATTCCCTTAGTGTCTGAGACCTAAGGTTTTTTTTTGAGACAGAGTCTCGCTCTGTCACCCAGACTGGAGTGCAGTGGTGCAATCTCGGCTCACTGCAACCTCCACCTCCCAGGTTAAAGCAATTCTCCAGCCTCAGCCTCTTGAGTAGCTGAGATTACAGGCATGTACCACCATACCCGGCTAATTTTGTATTTTTAGTAGAGATGGGGTTTCACCATGTTGGTCAGGCTGGTCTCAAATTCCTGACCTCAGGTGATCCACCCGCCTCGGCCTCCCAGAGTGTTGGGATTACAGGCGTGAGCCACTGCACCTGGCCAGAGGGTCCTTAATGAACCCCAGGACAAGAGAGCACAGATCCCTGGAATACTAGGCCTGTGTGCTTCGCCTATGAGAGAGAAAGAGAAATGGTTTCATTCCTTTTAAACCATATTCAGATGACTTTCTCAATCACCACATTATATCAAAGTCACAAACTACCACTATTTGAACAAGCCTTTAGCCTCCCAATTCCAAATTCCTGGGAGAAGGAATCTGATAAGCCCAGTCCAGCCTCTGTGTTGCTCCAGGCCTGGTCCAGTTGCTGTGGTTAAGCAGGGGCAGGATCACAGCAGTAAATGGGGCTGCAACTGGGGTTGGGTGAAGATAGGCGGGGTAGTTCTCACAGAAGCAGGGCTTGGGCTGAGCAAGCACCAAAAATCTATCTATTACAACATCAAAACTAACCTGCGGGATAAGTGGAATGTTTTGCGTAAAAGGTGTGTGTGGGATGGAGCGGGCTAAGCAGAATGTCCCGAGAGGAAGGAACAGTAGGTGTTGGGAGAATTGCAAATAGTTTTGCATGGAAGGAGCTCAGACAGCAAAATCATAGTAAAGAACTTAAGACTTTTTTTTCTGAGGGTAGTAGACAGGACTCCAAGCCAGACTGATTAGATTTGTAATTAGAAAATCACTCTGGCTACAGGCTGGGCGCTGTGGCTCACGCCTGTAATCCCAGCACTTTGGGAGGCCGAGGCGGGCAGATCACGAGACCATCCTGGCTAACGTGGTGAAACCCTGTCACTACTAAAAATACAAAAAAAAAAAAAATTAGCCGTGTGGTGGTGGGCGCCTGTAGTCCCAGCTACTCGGGAGGCTGAGGCAGGAGAATGGTGTGAACCCAGAAGGCGGAGGTTGCAGTGAGCCAAGATCGCACCACTGCACACTCTAGCCTCGGCGACAGCATGAGACTCCATCTAAAAAAAAATAAATAAAGGAAAATCACTCAGGCTGCCATGAGAGGGCCAGTCAGAGAGCAGCTGATCAAGGCCAGCTAGATACATGGTTGTCTATGTGGGAGATGAAGGTGGCCCAGGCTGCTGAGGGACATGTTCTCTCAGAGTGACAGCAGAAGGGGCCAAGCCAGCTTTGGCCTAAGTTGCCATGAGCATCCTCATTAGAGGAGCATCCCCAGGCATAACTGCTCCCCACCCAAATGCCAATCTTTGACATCTGAGGACAATGATTTCCTAGAGCCTTGCTCCTTAGAGTGCATTCCACTGACTAGCAGCATCATATCACCTGAGAGCGTGTTAGGAATGCAGAGTCTTGGGCCCCATTCCAAACCTACTGGATATGCCTCTGCATTTTAACAAGAGCCTCAGGTGATTTTGCACGCATTAGAAGGTGAAAAGCACTGTCCGAGGCCATTGCAGAACTCCCATGCAGTTCACTCAATCCTTTTCCAGGGCTCTGGGGTTATCCCTGTCAGAGGCTTCCTGCTTGCCCGGGTTAGCCCACGAGGCTCTGACACAATCCTCCCTGGATGCCCCTGAGCCGAGCTGTGGGGTGTGTGCAGGTGCTGAATATATGTGCCCCACACCCAATGCCCAGCTAGCTTCCCGCCACCAGAGGTAGCTTCCCACCCACCCCATCTCACTGCTGTGTGTGTGTCCTGTGCACTTCTCTCCGCAGGAGATAGTGGACTGGTTCAATGCCCTCCGTGCAGCCCGTCTGCAGTACCTAAAAATGGCCTTTCCTGAACTCCCAGAGTCTGAGGTGAGCTAAATGCGGACCCCAATTTCTGAATCTCCTCTTGGCCATCTCCTTCTTTCCCTGTCTGTTGACCTCGAAGACACTCAGAAGCCAGACTAGGGCTGGGCGCGGTGGCTCACGCCTGTAATCCCAGCACTTTGGGAGGCTGAGGCGGGCGGATCACAAGGTCAGGAGATCGAGACCATCCTGGCTAGCACGGTGAAACCCCGTCTCTACTAAAAATACAAAAAAATTAGCCAGGTGTGGTGGCAGGCGCCTGTAGTCCCAGCTACTTGGGAGGCTGAGGCAGGAGAATGGTGTTAACCCGGGAGGCGGAGCTTGCAGTGAGCCCAGATGGCGCCGCTGCACTCCAGCCTGGGTGACAGAGTGAGACTCCGTCTCAAAAAAAAAAAAAAAAAAAAAGAAGAAGAAGCCAGACTAGTTTTGTTTGCAGGCAAGACCTCGAGGTTGAGGGCTGGGCTGCTCAGAGGGAAGCCCAAGGCATTCTCCAGGGGAGCCTGCGGGGGTTACAGCCTCACATACGACAAGGCGGCCTCCCAAAAGCTGGTCAGTGTCTCCCCTTCAGAAGAGTGTCAAGGGGCTCAGCAATTGGTCATCTCTTTCTGAACCCTTCTCCCTCTAAAATGTACAAATGATCCCTAACATACTGCTTACAGAGTGCTTTGAGCCCATTTTGTCTTGTGAAATGGCAGCCAGGCAGGGGTGATTATTTCCATTTCACTGATGAGTTATACAGTCCCAGGAAGGGCAGGTGAATAACCAAAGGTGTGCTTCCCTTTCTAAAATCCCCTCTTTGCCCTGTGATGCTCTGGGCTTGGGAAAGCCTGGGATCCTCTCCATTACAGTTGTAACAGGAGCAGGTATGCCCTTCATGGCCAACATCATGGGGAGCCGAGAACTTCATTTTGATTGTCTCCAGACTTCTGGGGCCTTCATCTCCCTATCTCAGGCTGGGCCAGGGAGACCCGCATGGTGTAGGGCAGAGGATGCTGTCTCGAGCCAGGAAGCCTGGGCTCTCAGGGATGCTCTATTGCTCACTTGCTGTGTGACCCCTGCAGGTCCTGGCACCCCTCTGAGCTTCTATTTCCATATGGGTAAGATGGCGGTTAGTCCAGGTCATCTTCAGGGTCCCTTCCGCCTCTGAGATTCTATGCTCTGGTCCTCTTCAAGAGGCTCCCCTCCAAGAGGATTTTATAAGTGATGGGGCTGGAAAACCATTTTAATGCTGGGATTTTCTTAATCTCAACCATTAGAGTTTCCTTGAAAGCCTAAATGCTCCTTAATTCCAAGGTTTGTAGGGAGCCAGTTGTCTGGAATAGGGTCCCCTCCAGGCCCAGGGATGTGCTGAGATGGCAGCTCTCTGGGAGCAATTCCAGCAAGGCCCGAGTCAGAGCCCTTGAGTCAGTCTGCTGAGTTTGCACCCAGAACTGGTTAATGCTGGCTCCCATGGGCGGGGAGTGGAGACTGCTGACTGCTGACTATGAGGAGGGAGGACAAAGTGCAGATGCTCAGCCTTATTTAATCTGGGCAAGCTGCCCATCTTTGCTGACATGTGTAAAGGAAATTGCTCTTTGGTCAACATCCTCAATGTTCCCCTGCCTCTCTCATCCACTGTCGGTACCTGATATCCATCCCGTGTCTTTCCTCCCATTTAATGTCTGTGTATGGTGTGAGGTTCTGAGCAATCACCAGGCCTGGCTCAAGCTTTAGGGGTCCACATGTTGGAAACCCAGGGCATCCCAGTGGGGTCTGTGGTCCTGTAATAAATGCATATGGTCTCTTGGACTTCAGAGAAAGTAGGTTTTGTCGCCATGGTGACAGATGAGTGCATCGAGGCTCAGAGAGGTGAGGTGACTTGCCTAGGTGATAGTACCTACTTTCTAGGGCTATTGTGAGACTCCAGCGAGCCAAGGCATCAGAAGTACAGGAAGCAGTGCTCCAGCCATGTGACTTTCCTTTTTTTCCCAATGGTTTCCCTAGGCCTCTGCTTGCTCTGTGCTGGCTCAAATTCCGAATATTGAGCAGTTCGGGACTCCATCTGTTTTCTCCAAATGGAACAATTAAAGCCTAGTGAATGTATTTTAAGAGAAGGGGAGTAGTACAGTTTATATCTTGTTTCTTACATTAAAAATTTTTTTTTAATTTTTTATAGAGATGATGTCTCACTTATGTTGCCCAGGCTGGTCTCGAACTTCTGGCCTCAAGCAATCCTCCTACCTCGGCCTCCCAAAGTGCTGGGATTACAGGTGTGAGCCACTGCATCTGACCAATATTTTCTTTTCTTTTCTTTTTTTTTTTTTTTTTTTGAGACAGAGTCTCGCTCTTTCGCCCAGGCCAGAGTGCAGTGGCGCCATCTTGGCTCACTGCAAGCTCCGCCTCCCAGGTTCACGCCATTCTCCTGCCTCAGCCTCCCGAGTAGCTGGGACTACAGGCGCTCGCCACTGCACCCGGCTACTTTTTTGTATTTTTAGTGGAGACGGGGTTTCACCGTGTTAGCCAGGATGGTCTCGATCTCCTGACCTCGTGATCCACACGCCTCGGCCTCCCAAAGTGCTGGGATTACAGGCGTGAGCCACTGCGCCTGGCCTAATATTTTCATTTTTGGCTCACAAATTTCCCCCTTTTAAACTTCCCATAGCTGTTCCCCAGACCTCACTTCCCCTGTGCCTCTGCCCTGGGCCCTGGAGCTCTGGAGAAGCCTCTCTGTTCTTTGAAGCCTGGACTGTCATTTGAAGCTCTAGACTTTCCAGGTTGATGCCTAGGAGCATAGGAGGCCATCATCAACCCCTGGAAACATCTCTGGGCGTAGGCTGCCAGGCTGGAAGGGATGCTGGGGATCACATGATCCAGGCTGTTTATCACACAGGGGAGACATAAGGCCTCGAGAGACAGAAGGTCTTAACAAAGGTAATGCAGCTGATGGAGGCCAGAACTGGAATTAGAACCAGGTCTCCCGACTTCTGCTTCAGAACTTTCTCTGTCCACTCTGGCATCATTTTCTTTTCTTTTTTGTTTTGTTTTGTTTTGAGATGGAGTCTCCCTCTGTCACCCAGACTGGAGTGCAGTGGCACTATCTCAGCTCACTGCAACCTCTGCCTCCCAAGTTCAAGGGATTCTCTTGCCTCAGCCTCCTGAGTAGCTGGGATTACAAGCGCGTGCCACCATGCCCAGCTAATTTTTATATTTTTGGTAAAGGTGGGGTTTCGCCATGTTGGCCAGGCTAGTCTCAAACTCCTGGCCTCAAGTGATCTGCCTGCCTTGACCTCCCAAAGTGCTGGGATTACAGGTGTGAGCCACTGCACCCAGCCTCTGGCCATTATTTTCTTGTTGCTTGGTGTCAGAATCCTGACCAGGCCTTTCCCAAGGTCCTGCTCAGAGGGCCCTGGCATATTTATACTTTAGCACCTAGTGTAGTGGTAGGAGTACAGTCTAGTGTCATTGGCCCTGGGCCTGAATCTCAGCTCTTTGTGCTACCAGTGATGTGACTTTGGGAAAATCCCCAGCCCCTTCTCTGTGGCCTGGTTTCTTCAGATGTGTAATGAGGCTGGTGATACCCACCTCGCAGGGTGATTGAGAATTGCACCTGGAGCCTGATGCAAAGTGGACCCTCAGAACATGTTGCCTGACACCAAGAGGGTCTCTGCAGAGCCTTGCCTATGTCCACACCCTGGGGTTACTGAAGGAATCCTTAAACCAAAACTCGGCCGTGCCACTAAGCTCTGCAAACATCTGGGGTGCTGTCGACTGGCTTTGTTGAAATATTAATATTATGACCATTGCACTTTCCAAATATAATACTGTGAGCCATGAGCGTACATCCTTCCCCATTTCAAACTTCCCCTTTGTCGGGAGCCAAGCTCGGCGGGAACCTGGAGCCTTGGGGTGTGAGTTGGGGGTCAGTGTCTGTCTCTCTTCCCCAGCTCGTGCCATTCCTCACCAGGAACTACCTCAAACAAGGCTTCATGGAAAAGACTGGGCCAAAGGTACCTTCTATCACTCCCTGGGGAACTTAATATGGTTTAATGTATATAGAAGGTTTCATGTGTTTATGGGATGATTGTTAAGAGGACAGTGAAAGGTGTTAGGCCAAGCTTGTCCAACCCACAGCCCATGGGCCACATGCAACCCAGGACGGCTTGGAATGATGCCCAACAGAAATTCATAAACTTTCTTTTTTAAATTTTTTTGAGACAGAGTCTTGCTCTGTCACCCAGGCCAGAGTACAGTGGTGTGATCTCGGCTCACTGCAACCTCCGCCTCCCAGATTCAAGCGATTCTCCTGCCTCAGACTCCTGAGTAGCTGGGATTACAGGTGCCCACCACCATGCCCGGCTAATTTTTGTAATTTTAGTAGAGATGGGGTTTCACCATGTTGGCCAGGCTGGTCTCGAACTCCTGACCTCAAGCGATCTGCCCACCTCAGCCTCCCAAAGTGCTGGGATTACAGGCATGAGCCACCATGCCCAGCCAAATTCGTGAACTTTCTTAAAACATTATGAGATATTTTTGCGATTTTTTTTTTTTGGCTCATCAGCTATCATTAGTGTTAGTGTATTTTATGTGTGGCCCAAGACAATTCTTCCAATGTGGCCCAGGGAAGGCAAGAGATTGGATATTCCTGTGTTAGGCAATCATGAAAGCAAGCCTTGGGCAGGTGGAAAAAGCAGTCAAAGGGTTGTTTTCAGAGAGGCGCAGCCCCTCCGCCTGGTTCTTGTTGCTGGGCTTTCTCTCCCTGACCTAGGTTAGAATTTGGCCAAGGCCAGCACTTTCAGCCTTGCCAAGCAGTAGCCACTTCTGATTTTTTCCAACTTCCTTTCCGGCTTCTTTGTCTACAGCCTGAAAAAGAGGAAGGTGCCTCTTCCAAGTTGAGGCAGCAGGGTGAAGCTGGCAAAGGGTATGGTGGGGTTGGAAGGGGAATGGGCAGAACCTTCAGAGCCTGAGGGCTCCTATCCAGGCCCCAGGGAGAAGCACTAGGATGTCTGACTGAGGAGGCTGGGCTGGAGAACCAGTGGGACTGGCCAGCTCCTTTGGTTTGGGCTGGGCTGGCCCCTGACCTCTATCCTCAGAAACTGACCTGGTCATCTGTGGTAAGAAGTTCCCTCTTTTGCAGCAGAAAGAACCTTTCAAGAAAAGGTGGTTCGCCCTGGATTGCCATGAGCGGAGGCTGCTCTATTACAAGAACCCACTGGTAAGAGCCACTCCTGCTCCCTCCCCAGGGCTTCCTCAAACATTGCTGGGTGGTGCTTGTCTGGAACTATGTGAAAGCTACAGATAAACACATCTCCCAGAGCCCCAGAGCTAGAGAAACCTTGAGAGGAAAACCTCTACCCCTTGTTTTTGTTTCTCTTGAGTAATCTCCTATGGCATGAAGCTTCTCCTCGCTTTCAGGAAGTCTATTATGAGTATCCAAAATGCTGCCCATGGTAGTTAAATATGGTGTATCTCTTCCTCTAGTCTCCAGGGCTCACTTCTAACCAAGAGGCCGTGATGTGTAGTAGTTAGGAGTGTGGTGGACTCTAGAACCCCACCGTCTGGGCTCTGGTCTCAGCCCTGCCACTTGTAGTAGTGTTGCCTTGAGCCGTGTACTTAGTGCTCTGTGCCTCGGTTTCCTCCTCTGAAAAACAGGCTTAATAAGAATGCCTTCCCCAGAGGTTGCCATGATGGTTATTTAAGTTACTATATATAAAGCATTGTAATTCCTGATGCTGATTTTAATAAGTGCTCCGTAAATGTTAGGTATCACTTATTTTTTTTTTTTTAGAGACAGAGTCTCTCTCTGTCACCCAGGCTGGAATGCAGTGGCACAATCACAGCTCATTGCAACCTTGAACTTCTGGGCCCAAGTTATCTTCCTGCCTCAGCCTCCTAAGTAGCTCAGAATACAGGCATGCATCACCATGCCCAGCTAATTAAAAAAAAAAAATTTAGGGCTGGATGTGCTGCCTTTTGTCTGTAATCCCAGCACTTTGGGAGGCTGAGACAGGAGGATCGCTTGAGCCCAGAAGTTCGAGACCAGCCTGTGCAACATAGTGAGATCCCATCTCTACAAGAAACTTAAGGCCAGGCACGGTGGCTCACATCTGTAAACCCAGCATTTTGGAAGGCTGAGGCGGGGCAGATCACGAGCTCAGGAGTTCGAGACTAGCCTAACCAACATGGTGAAACCCTGTCTCTACTAAAAATACAAAAATTAGCCGGACGTGGTGGTGCGTGCCTGTAAGCCCAGCTACTCAGGAGGCTGAGGCAGGAGAATCGCTTGAAACCGGGAGGCAGAGGGTGCAGAGGGTGCATGCCATTGCACTCCAGCCTGGGTGCAGAGTGAGACTCCGTCTCAAAAAAAAAAAAAGAAAGAAAAAAAAAGAAACTTAAAAATTAGTCAGGTGTGGTGGTGCATGCCTGTAGTCCTAGCTGCTTGGGAGGCTGAGGTGGGAGGATTGCCTGAGCCTGGGAGGTTGAGGCTGGGATGAGCCATGATTGTGCCACTGCACTTCCAGCCTGGGTGACAGAGTGAGGCCCTGTCTCCAAAAACAATTCATAATAATAATTAATAATTTTTTTTTGTAGAGAAGGGGTCTCACTATGTTGTCCCGGTTGGTCTCATATTCCTGGCCTCAGGCAATCCTCTGCCTTGGCTTCCCAAAGTGCTAGGATTACAGGCATGAACTACCAGGCCCACCCTCGGTATCTTTTCAATAGATGATGTGTATGATTTATTTTAGGGTTTTGATCTTTCAAATTCTGGGTCCCACTTAGCAGAAATCCCAGCAGGGACCTCATACCCCTTTCCCAAAATAAAGCTTGGAGGCTGTCAGGGCTGCAGGGCCCCTCTGCCCTGGGGGCACCCTCTGATGACCCTGTACTCTCCATTTTCAGGATGCCTTCGAGCAGGGCCAGGTTTTTCTTGGGAACAAGGAGCAGGGATATGAAGCCTACGAAGACCTGCCCAAGGGCATCCGAGGAAATCGCTGGAAAGCCGGACTCACCATTGTCACCCCAGAGCGGAGATTTGTCCTCACTTGCCCCAGTGAGAAGGAACAGCAGGAATGGCTGGAAAGTTTGCGGGGTGTCCTGTCCAGCCCCTTGACGCCCCTCAACCGGCTTAGTAAGAAGCAGGAACTGAGGGGTGTTCTTTTGGACAAGGGCAGAGGACAGAAAATTGCTTCTTCACTTAGGTTCAGCTTTGATACCACAAAAGATTCCTGATTCCTGACTATGCTCTTTTCATTGTCTTCTCTTCCTGCAAAAGAAAAGCACAGACATGCCATTATTGCCAAAAGGTCTCCTCTGTCCACTCTGGGTTCCCCTAACCGAGCCCTTCCCCAGGAGCTTTTAGAGGAGTTTGGCCCTGGCAGAACCCCTGGGTGCTGTCTGTACCCCTTGCGGTGTGGGGGCTAAGCAGCTTCTCTTTCCCTCCACCGTGCTCTATGCTGATCCTTTTTCTCGTGAGAAAACGCTGGCCTGTTATTATTAGCTAAGGTCACACCCGCTGGGCAGCTCCTGGGATTTTTGGATTCCTCCCCACTCCAGAGGGAAGGCTATTTCTAGTGGCTTCTTTTCTTTGAGTCCTCCCTTCTGTCTGCCTCTCTCCTGTTCCTCCTCTTTACCAGTAGGGCTTCCTCAATGCTGACAGCCCTGTGAAAAAAGGGGAGACATGCCGAGCTCCGGCAGGAAACTGCTGGCCCAGGACCTGGCTTCTGGGGCACAAAGGAGAATTTCTGTGTTTGGAAAAGTACAGACTGAGCAGGTGACCCCCGCACAGCCCCTTGGGGGAAACACTTGTGCCCTTTGAGTCTGACTGATATAAACACAGACTCTCTTGACTGTCCCATAAAGGCCAAAGCCAGAGAACCTCAGAAAGGGACTTGCAAATTGTGAGTGAGGCATATCAGCTGGTGCTTTCTTTTCTCTGTGGGCTGCCATTTATGAATCTCTTGGTTTCTCTCTGTCTCTGTCCCTCCACTTTTCTCTCCTTTGCTGGTGTGTGCATTCCCTCTGACGCCCTGGCTCTCACTCTTTCATTCTGTTTTTTATTCTGGCTCCCTCTGTCTTTGTGTTTTTTTTTTTAATTTTCTTTTTTTGAGGTGGGGTCTTGCACTGTCACCCAGGCTGGAGTGCAGTGGTGCGATCTCAGCTCACTGCAACCTCTTCTTCCTGGGCTCAGGCAATCCTCTCACCTCAGCCTCCCAAGTAGCTGGGACTACAGGCTCGTGACACCACATCTAGCTAATTTGTTTTGTATTTTTGGTAGAGACAGAGTTTCACCATGTTGCTCAGGCTGGTCTCGAACTCCTGAGCTCAAGTGATCCACCTGCCTCGGCCTCCCAAAGTGCTGGGATTACAGGCATGAGCCACTGTGCCCGGCCATGGCTCCCTCTGTCTTTGTACGCCTGTCCCTTTGCTGTCCCTCTCCTCCACAGGACAGCATTGGCATGGCCACCTCCCTCAGCCCTCTTCATTTCCCTTGCAGCTGCATCAACAGAGAGTGGCCGCAGCAGCAGGTGACCCATTAACTGAGGAACTGGCTGCCACTGAACACCTGGAACTCCTTGTGGGAAGAAGTTTGCACCTCGGCCCTGGCTGCCCACCATCAGTGCCCCGCAGTCAGCAGCCATTCCTGGCAGTGAACTCTGCCAGGACTGAAGCTGTGGCTTTATCCATCAGCTCCCTGGGCCTTCCCCGCAACCCACCTCGGGGATCTGAGGATCTGGTGCATAGATGAACATCTATCCCCTCCTCCCCCATACACACCTAGGCTTGAAATGCCCTACAGGCCCAGAACTTTCTCACATCTGAAATGGAGGCATTGCAATGAAAAGGCACCCACAGCATCATGCAAGTGGCATCTTGTAAAAAAAAAAAAAAAGTTTAATCTGAATCTAACCATGAGGAAATAATCAGACAAATCCACATTAGGGGCATTCTGCTAAACATCTGACCCAGACTCTTCAAAAATGAAGAGTGAAAGATAAAGTAGTCAATGGCCGGGCGCAGTGAGATTGCGCCATTGCATTCCAGCCTGGGTGACAGAGCGAGACTCCGTATCAGAAAGAAAAAGAGGAACTGAATGAAATCTCAGATGGCTGAAATGTTAGAGAAACAGAGCACCAAGTCCCCTGCTCTGTGACTCGTTGTTCCTTTCCTCTGTCTTCAAGCACCACGCAGAAATACACTGGATGTTCTCTCTTTGCTTCAATGGAGACCCAAGGAGCTGGGAGGTCTCTTAAGAGACTCTCTGATTCTCCGTGGCTGGGTGTGATGGCTCATGCCCATAATCCCAGCCCTTTGGGAAGCTGAGGCAGGAGGATTGAGACCAGGAGTTCGAGAAGAGCCTGGGCAACATAGTGAGACCCCATCTCTACAAAGAAAAAAAAATTAGCTGGACATGGTAATGAATGCCTGTAGTCCCAGCTACTCCGGACACTGATGTGAGAGGATCACTTGAGCCAGGGAGGTCATGGCTACAGTGACCCCTCATTGCACCACTTTACTTAGCCTGGGTGACAGAGTGAGACCCTATCTCAAAAAAAAAAAAAATCTATGCATTGTATGGGACTTTCCTTTGGATCCCCCAATCAAAGGATAAGCAATGCGTAAGCCTGTGTCCTTCCTGAAGCTTCTCGACTGCCCAGATAGGGAGGTGAGTCCTCTCTATCTCCTCTGGCTCTGGAAGCACCTTGAAAATGTGCATTTTCAAGGACACTTGCTGGGTTGTGCATTAAGGGCCAGTTTACTTGTCTGCCTCTTTGACCACCTGTGAACTCTGTTGGGTGTACTCTGCTAAGTTCTGGGGATGAGGAAATTAATAAAGGTACAGTCTTGCCTTCAAGGAACTTATGGTCTAGAGGAGAAGAACGAGAAGTATAGATAGGCAGTAACAAAGCTACTTGAAGAGGCCAACTGGGATTCTAAGGGTGGGAAAGAACAGACACAAGAGATAAAGTCCTAATGAAATGGAGTGCTTGGTTTTGGATGATTCCTTCCTCAAGGAAGAGTATGCTTCTATACTCTTATATTAAATCCCTTTTTCCCTTTTTGGCTTGTTAGTGCAAGGAAGTTTCTATTACTTGAATCAGTCCTGACAGATAAAGTTCTCTAAAAGAGATGATACCTATGCTGAATCCTGAAGAAAGAGTAGAAGATAGTTGGGTTGGGGTGGGAGGAGGCAGAGAAAGAAGCATGTGTAAAGGCTCAGAGATATCAGGTGTGCACGTGCCTGTAGTCCTAGCTACTGGGGAGGGTGAGGTGGGAAGATCATTTGAGCCCAGGAGTTCTGGGCTTTAGTGCACAATGCTAATTGGGTGTCCACACTAAATTTGGCATCAACATGGTGACCTCCCAGGAGTGAGGAATCACCAGTTTGCCTAAGGAGGGGTGAACTGGCCCAGATCAGAAATGAAGCACTTCCGTGCTGGTCAGTAGAGGGATCATGCCTGTGAACAGCCATTGCACTGCAGCCTGGGCGACAAGAGGGAAACTCCGTCTAAAAAAAGAAAATAGCTAGGCATGGGCACTGTAATGCATGCCTGTAGTCCCAGCTACTCAGGAGGCAGAGGTGGGAGGCTTGCTTGGGCCTGGGGGGTTATGCACTCCAGCCTGGGTGACAGAGTGAGACTCCGTCTCCAAAAAAAAAAAAAAGAAAAAGAAAAGAAAATTTGAATCACACTTCACTTGTATTAGCGTTCTCCAGAGAAACAGAACCAATGATATACATATATATATATATGGCTATAGAAAGAAATTTATTGGCCGGGCACGGTGGCTCACGCCTATAATCCTAGCACTTTGGGAGGCCGAGGCAGGCAGATCATGAGGTCAGGAGATCAAGACCATCCTGGCCAACATGGTGAAACCCCGTCTCTACTAAAAATACAAAAATTAGCTGACTGTGGTGGCACGTGCCTGTAGTCCCAGCTACTCAGGAAGCTGAGGCAGGAGAATCGCTTGAACCCGGCAGGCGGAGGTTGCAGTGAACCAAGATTGCGCCACTGCACTCCAGCCTGGCGACAGAGTGAGACTCCGTCTCAAAAAAAGAAAAAGAAAAAGAAAAAAAAAAAAGCCAGGCATGGTGGCATGTGCCTGTAGTCCCAGCTACTCAAGGCTGAACTCCCACTTAAGCCTGAGATTTCAAGACTGCAGTGAGCTATGGTCTCACCACTGCACTCCAGCCTGGGTGACAGAGTGAGACTCTGCTTCAGCAAAGAACAGTTATGTCACACCCCAAAACTCCCTTGTAGCCACACCCTTCCCCTGCCCCGTGGCAACCATTGATCCGTTCATCATTATAGATTGTACTTTCAAAAATGCCATATAAATGGAATCATTTAATATGTAATTTTTATTTTATTTTATTTTATTTTATTTTATTTATTTTATTTTATTTTTTTTTTTTTGAGACAGAGTCTTGCTCTGTCGCCCAGGCTGGAGTGCAGTGGCGCAATCTCGGCTCGCTGCAAGCTCCGCCTCCCGGGTTCACGCCATTCTCCTGCCTCAGCCTCCCGAGTAGCTGGGACTACAGGCGCCCGCCACTATGCCTGGCTAATTTTTTGTATTTTTAGTAGAGACAGGGTTTCATCATGTTAGCCAGGAGGGTCTCGATCTCCCAACCTCGTGATCCACCTGCCTCGGCCTCCCAAAGTGCTGGGATTACAGGCATGAGCCACCACGCCAGGCCTGTAATTTTTAAAGACTGGATTCTTTCACAGCACATGATACCTTTGAGATTCATCAAAGTCACTGCATGTGTCAATATGTCTTTCCTTATTGCTAAGAAGTATTCCACTATATGGCTATACCATACCTTGTTTATCCAGTGGAATGCTGCTTAGCAATAAAAAGGAACAAATTATTCATACATACAACAGTCCCCAGGTATGGGGCTTCTGGTTCATACTGATGCAGGGTAGGTAGTCAAGGAAGTAACCAGGGTCTCAGGACACAGCAATCATGCTGACCATTCAGTCAACACAATAAGCCTCAGCATTCACAATGCAACTGAGCTAATTCAAGCAAAGCTATCTGCAGTAGGGAATTTCCCATGTAGACAGCATGCAAACTTTGCGGTTCACCTCCCCTCCCCTCCTCTCCCCTCTCCTCTCCTGTCCTTTCCTTTTTCTGAGATGGAGTCTTGCTCTGTCACCCAGGCTGGAGTGCAGTGGTGTCATCCCGGCTCACTACAACCTCTGCCTCCCAGGTTCAAGCAATTCTTCTGCCTCAGCCTCCTGAGTAGCTGGGACCACAGGCACATGCCACCATGCCCAGCTAATTTTTGTATTTTTCTGTAGAGATGGGATTTCATTATGTTGGCCAGGCTGCTCTCAAACTCCCGACCTCAGGTGATCCACCCACCTCAGCCTCCCAAAATGCTGGGATTACATGCGTGAGCCACCGCGCCCGGCCCTGACAGCATGCACACTTTGATTTTACCTGGTCTCAAACTGACCCTTTGCTTATTTTAATAGTAAAAAATACACCCCTGGGTGGAAATTTAAGATGGTAATGAGACATGTGGTGTATGAACAAGCATGTAAACTACTGTGCATGTGCACCCAGAAGACCACCCAGAACATGCTTACTAGTAACTCCTCTTTCCACTTCCTTATGAATAATCACATAAGACTCCCATAAAGGGAGTCTCCTTAGTGCCAGTTTTTGCTGTCTCATCCTTAAATGAGCAGCCTACCCTGAATCCTCTCTCTGAGTGTGCTGCCCATTCTGCACTTAATTTTCAAAATCCTCTTTCTCCTTTACAATAAATAACTCTATGCTGCACTTTTTTTTTTTTCCCGAGATGGAGTCTCTCTGTGTCGCCAGGCTGGAGTGCAGTAGAGTGATCTTGGCTCACTGAAACCTCTGACTCCCTGGTTCAAGCAATTCTCCTGCCTCTGCCTCCCAAGTAGCTGGGATTACAGGCATGCACCATCACATCCAGCTAATTTTTGGTATTTTTAGTAGATATGAGGTTTCACCATGTTGGCCAGGATGGTCTTGAATTCTTGACCTCATGATCCACCCACTTCGGCCTCCCAAAGTGCTGGGATTACAGGCATGAGCCACCGCGCCTGGCCTATGCTGCACTTCTTTTGCTGTGTGTCTCTTGTTTACATTTTTGTTTTTTTTGAGATGGAGTCTCGCTCTGTTGCCCAGGCTGGAGTGCAGTGGCACGATCTCGGCTCACTGCAAGCTCCGCCTCTTGGGTTCATGCCATTCTCCTGCCTCAGCCTCCCGAGTAGCTGGGACACAGGCGCCTGCTACCACGCCCGGCTACTTTTTTGTATTTTTAGTAGAGGTGGGGTTTCACCACGTTACCCAGGATGGTCTCAATCTCCAGAATTCGTGATCTGCCTGCCTGGGCCTCCCAAAGTGCTGGGATTACAGGCATGAGCCACCGTGTCCGGCCTAAATTCTTTTAAACTAAGAAGACAAGAACCAGGGTATCACAATAGCCATCAACATTTGGTTAGATATATGCTTAATTTTATAACAAACTTTCCCGGTGGCTGTACTACTTGACATTTCACTAGTGATGTATGAGAGTTCCAGTTACTCTATCACCAACAGTTGGTGTTGTCAGTATTTTTTATTTTAACTGTTCTGATAGGTATGGAGTGGTATTTTATTATGGTTCTAATACGCATTTCCCTAGCGGTTGACAATGTCGAAGTCCTATTATGTACTTATTGGCCAATCTTATATCTTCTTTGATGAAGTGACCATTTGATTCCCTAGCTTTTTTTTTTTTTTTTTTTTTTGAGATCTGGTCTTGCTATGTTGCCCAGGTTGGAGCACAGTGGCTATTCACAGATATGACCATGGCATACTACATCCACAGACCCCTCACCTCAAGAGATCCTTCTGCCTCAGCCTCCTGAGTAGCTGGAACTACAGGCATGTGACACAGTGCCCTGCTTGCCTTTTTAAAATATTGGGTGGTTTGGGCTGGGCACAGTGGCTCACACCTGTAATCCCAGCACTTTGGGAGGCTGAGGTGGGCAGATCACGACGTCAGGAGATCGAGACCATCCTGGCTAACACGGTGAAACCCTGTCTCTACTAAAAATACAACAAATTAGCCGGGTGTGGTTGTAGTCCCAGCTACTCGGGAGGCTGAAGCAGGAGAATGGCGTGAACCCGGGAGGTGGAGGTTGCAGTGAGCCGAGATCGCACCACTGCACACTCCAGCCTGGGTGACAGAGTGAGACTCTGTCTCAAGAAAAAAAAAATTGGGTGGTTTGCTTTTTCTACTGTTGAATTTTGAGAGTTCTTCATATATTCTGGATACTAGGAATACAGACTTGGATTTGTAAATATTTTCTTCCAGTCCATAGTTTTTCATTCTGTAAGAGTGTCAGTGAAGGCTTCTTTAATCAAGGTATTAAGGTTAGGGTTCATGACTTTCTTCGTTTTTTGCTGACTTTTGTTGCTGACAAAGTTTGGCATTAATAATGGGGTGAGAAAAAAATGGGGTGAGGCCAGATGTGATGGCTCATGTCTATAATCCCAGCACTTTGGAGGCCAAGAAGGGAGGATCACTTGAGGCCAGGAGTTTGAGACCAGCCTGGACAGCATAGCGTTCAAGATCTTCTCTACCAAAAAAGTTTTTAAGCAGTGTTTTGGCTTATGTTTGGGCATTTGAATCATTTATTATGAAGTGGAGTGGAAGTAAGAATAATGGAAATTTAATGATCTCTTCCGTCCCTTGACAAAAAGTGCTTTGTCCCTGAAAGAATTTAGCAAAAACAGGCTGGGCTCGGTGGCTCACGCCTGTAATCCTAGCACTTTGGGAGGCTGAGGCAGGCGGATCACCTGAGGTCAGGAATTTGAGACCAGCCTGGCCAACATGGTGAAACCCCGTCTCTACTTAAAACACAAAAAATTAGCTGGGCGTGGTGGTATGCACCTGTAATCCCAGCTACTTGGGAGGCTGAGGCAGGAGAATCGCTTGAACCCGGGAGGCAAATGTTGCAGTGAGCCGAGATCGTGCCATTGCACTCCAGCCTGGAGGACAAGAGTGAGACTTCATCTCAAAAAAAAAAAAAAAAAAAAAAAAGAATTTAGTAAAAACAAAGAAAAGAAACTGATAGGACATGTTAGGCCGAGCGTGGTGGTTCATGCCTGTAATCCCAGCACTTTGGAAGGCTGAGGCATGAGAACCGCCTAAACCCAAGAGGCGGAGTTTGCAGTGAGGCAAGATTGCGCCAGTGCACTCCAGCCTGGGCAACAGAGGGAGACTCTGTCTCAAAACAAACAAACAAAAACATGTTAATGGCAGTGTGCCTTATTTCATCCAGCACACAAACTCAAGCACCTCATCATTTCTTATCTTTTTTTTTTTTTTTTAGATGGAGTCTTGCTCTGTTGCCCAGGCTCGAGTACAGTGGTGCAATCTCGGCTCACTGCAACCTCCACCTCCTAGGTTCAAGCCATTCTCCTCCTCAGCCTCCCAAGTAGCTGGGATTACAGGTGTGTGCCACCGCACCGGGCTAATTTTTGTATTTTTAGTAGAGATGAGGTTTCACCATGTTGGCCAGGCTGGTCTTGAACTCCTGGCCTCAGGTGATCCGTCCTCCTCGGCCTCTCAAAATGCTGGGATTACAAGCATGAGGCATTGCTCCTGGCTCTGATTTTTTAAATCTAATTTAGCATTAGAACCTAGTGTCACAGGGATGGGTGTTAACACATGTACTTGAATAGAAAAATTTCAGGGCTGGACGTGGTGACTCATGCTGTAATCCCAGCACTTTGGGAGGCTGAGATGGGAGAATTGCTTGAGTCTGAGAGTTTGAGATCAGCCTGGGCAACACGGTAAAACCTGGCCTCTATAAAAAATACAATAACAGGGCATGGTGGCATGTGCTTGTAGTCCCAGCTATTTGTGGGACTGAAGCGATGGCTTGAGCCTGGGAGCTCCAGGCTGCAGTGAGCAGAGATCACACCACTGCATTCCAGCCTGGGCAACAAAGACCCTGTCTCAAAAAACAAAACAAACAAACAAAAAAACCCAAAAATGTATATATATATGTATACATATATGTATGTGTGTATATATATTTCAAATACATAACATAAAAGCACCTTTCCAAAAAATATTAGATTGACAATGGTGTATTAAAATAAACAATATTCTAATTTTCCCAGTCCTTTCTGAGTATATCAGTAAACAAGCTGTCTCTAAGTTAAAGTGTAATTGCTTTTAATTGATAGTCATTTGCTAAACCTTGGCAAAGTCTTTTTGGCATACTGTAATCACCCAACGGGTTCTTCCTGCCCACTGCACAGGCAAAACAGTAAAGAAAGAGTTTAATTAACATTAAGGTGAGGTTGGCCATGTGGGAGAAGTGGAATTATCAGTCAAATCAGTCTCCCCAAAGGCTGGAGGTTATGGTTTTTCAGTTTGGTGGGCAGGGGACTAGGGGATGGATGCTGCTGATTGGTTGGGGATGCAGTCATTACGGGTGTGGAAAATCGTCCTCATGAACTGAGTCCACCTCTGGTTGAGGCCACATGGCCAACTGAGTCACAAGTCACCAGTCCTGGTGGCGTAAGTCTGGAAAACATCTCCACCAATCTTAGATTCTACAATAGTGATGTTATCTATAGGAGCAATTGAAGAAGCCACAAATCTTGTGACTTCTGGCTACATAACTCCTGAAGGTAAGGGATTATAGAAATTGTGTCAACATCTCAGCAGAATTCAGGCCCCTCCCATAAACTTAATTTTGTGGCCTTTCAATGGTTTTACAAAGGTGGTTTCAGCCCCCTGAATAAGGAAAGGATTAGTTTTAGGGAGGGACTATTATCATCCTGGCTTCTAATTTAAACTATAAACTAAATTCCTTCCACGGTTAGCTTGGCCTACCCCAGGAATGAGCGAAGACAGCCAGCCTGTGAGGCTAGCAGCAAGATGGAGTCAGCCACGTTACAATAACACCCAGAAAATGAGAAAGTGAATACTTCTTTTTTTATTTGATCTTTTTTAATTTATTTTTATTTTATTTATTTATTTATTTAATTTTTAAGTTTTATTTTATTATTTTTTTATTTTATTTTATTTTTTTATTTATTTTTATGTATTTATTTATTTATTTTTAAAGTGAATACTTCTAACGACTTTTGTAACACAAGTGTTTCAAATTCTTTTTTTTGTTTTTGAGATGGAGTCTCGCTGTCGCCCAGGCTGGAGTGCAGTGGCGCGATCTTGGCTCACTGCAGGCTCTGCCTCCCAGGGTTCACACCATTCTCCTGCCTCAGCCTCCCGAGTAGCTGAGACTACAGGCGCCCGCCACCGTGCCTGGCTAATTTTTTTTTTTTTTTTGTATTTTTAGTAGAGACGCGGTTTCACCGTGTTTGCCAGGATGGTCTTGATCTCTTGACCTCGTGATCCACACGCCTCGGCCTCCCAAAGTGCTGGGATTACAGGTGTGAGCCACCGCGCCCGACCTCAAATTCTTGCTTTCAACAAAAATTAAAGAAAAATCAAATCAAGTTGTTAATTGAGAGATTATCACTATATGACTTTTTTGCATATATCTCAAAAAGTATTCAACAAAATGAGTGACAATTTTGTCATCTATTTATACATGTGAACAAGATTTCTCGGCACACATAAAAACATAAAAGAAATAGAATTTATTGCAAAAGTTTGTCTATCATTAAGTAATGTTCATTCATAGATAAATGCTTCTTTTTTTGACAGAGTCTTGCTCTGTTGCCCAGACTGGAGTGCAGTGGTGCCATTTCAGCTCACTACAACCTCCGTCTCCTAAGTTCAAGCAATTCTCCTGCCTCGGCCTCTGGAGTAGCTGGGACCTCAGGCCACCATGCCCAGCTAATTTTTGTATTTTTTGGTAGAGGCAGGGTTTCACCAGGTTGGCCAGGCTGGTTTCAAACTCCTGACCTCAAGTGTTCCGCTCACCTTGGCCTCTCAAAGTGCTGGGATTACAGATGTGAGCCACCGTGCCTGGGCATAAATGCATTTTTGAAAGAAATGAGCCCATCTGTCTTATTAATAGCTATCATTCCAATAAAATGTTTACTGTCTTTAAAAGTTATTTTATTTATATAAAAGTTATAAATTGCAGCATACTTTTCTTTTGTTTGACTGCTAATAGTAATTATATTGATAATTAAATCCAGGGGAAAAAATTTACCAAGAGCCTTTTTGTCACAGGAAGTTAAGAAGAATTAAAAATTTAATACACATACATACTTTTGTTGTAGAGAAGTATTACAAAGTGATAAAAGACTTTCATGCATGAAATATATTGCTTTGGAATGTAATTCTGTGGAGGAAATGGAATGGAAATACAAGTTCAGAAAGATAAAAGAATGACAAAATTTCTTTTTTTTTTTTTTTGAGACGGAGTCTTGCCCTGTTGCCGAGGCTGGAGTGCAATGGTGCCATCTTGGCTCATGGCAACCTTCACCTCCCGGGTTCAAATGATTCTCTTGCCTCAGCCTCCTGAGTAGCTGGGATTACAGGTGCCTGCAACTACGCCCAGCTAATTTTTTTTTGTATTTTTCGAACTCCTGACCTCATGATCCGCCTGCCTCGGCCTCCCAAAGTCCTGGGATTACAGGCATGAGCCACCGCACTCGGCCAAGAATGACAAAATGTCTGATGTAGGCTGAGCGCGGTGGCTCACCTCTGTAATCCTAGCACTTGGGAGGATGAGGTGGGCGGATCACCTGAGGTCAGGAGTTCGAGACAAGCCTGGCCAACATGGAGAAACCCTGTCAACATGGGGAAACCCCATCTCTACTAAAAATACAAAATTAGCCGGGCATGGTGGCGAGCGCCTGTAATCTCAGCTACTCCGGAGGCTGAGGCAGGAGAATGGTTTGAACCCGGGAGGTGGAGGTTGCAGTGAGACGAGATTGTGCCACTCCACTCCACTCCAGCCTGGGCAACAAAGTGAGACTCCATCTCAAAAAAAAAAAAAATCTGATATAAATGAAGAATTTGCTAATATATTTTTACTACCAGAGCTGACCACTCTCCCCCTTCCCCCTTTCTTTCTTTCTTTTTTTTTTTTCTTTTGAGACAGAGTCTTGCTCTGTCGCCCAGGCTGGAGTGCAGTGGTGCGAACTCAGCTCACTGCAAGCTCCGCCTCCTGGGTTCAGGTCATTCTCCTCCCTCAGCCTCCTGAGTAGCTGGGACTACAGGCTCCCGCCGTCACGCCCGGCTAATTTTTTTTGTATTTTTTAGTAGAGACGGGGTTTCACCGTGTTAGCCAGAATGGTCTCAATCTCCTGACCTCATGATCCGCCCGCCTCAGCCTCCCAAAGTGCTGGGATTACAGGCGTGAGCCACTGCGCCCGGCCCCCACTTCCCCCTTTCTTATAACCACTGCATGATTTTGCATAAAACTTTTAGGGCGTGTCCAAGAAAAAAGTTTGAAAACTACTGGTTAACTCACTCTTTCCAGAAACTTGGCTGTGAAATGGAGAAGAGGAGAGCTGGTTCCAGGGAGGCTCAGGTCAAAGGTGATTTTATTTTATTTTTTAATTTTTAATTTTTTTGAGACTAGGTCTAGCTCCTTCCCCAGGCTGGAGTGAAGTGGTGTGATCACAGCTAACCACAGTCTTGACCTCCTGAGATCTCATGGCTCATTACAGCCTCCACCTCCCTGGCTCAAGCAATCCTCCCACCTCAGTCTCCTGAGTAGCTGGGATCACAGGCCTGCGCTACCATGTCTAGGTAGTTTTTGTATTTTTTTTGTAGAGGCAAGGTTTCACCATGTTGCTCAGGCAGGTCTCGAACTCCTGAGTTCAGGCAATCCACCTGCCTCAGCCTCCCAAAGTGCTGAGATTACAGGCATAAGCCACCACGCCCCGCCAGTGATTTCATTTTTTAAGTTGGAAGATCTGAGCATGTTTAAGTGTTTAGTATCATGCCCGTTTTACAGAAAAAAAGAGGCTCTTAGAAACTACGATTTTACTCCGATGCGGAGATTCTAGAACAAGATCCAGGTAATACATCAGTCAGGATAGGCTAGGTTATGCTGTAGCAGCACACACCCACTAAATCTCAGTAAGCTGAATACATCCTAGTTTTCTTCTCCCTCTTACTACGTATCCTAGGGTGCGTTGGCAGGGAGTCTGCTCATCTTAGCCACTCAGTGACCCAGGTCACCGGATGATGGTTTCATCTCCATAATTGGGGCAGCTGGCAGAAAGGGATACAATGGCCGGCTCAGTCGCCTTTAAAGCTGGTGGGAAGTAACATATTACCTCTGTGTGTTTCAAGTGGGTCAGGGAAGTGCCAGTCCTACCATGTGCCCAGAAAGGGAAAGCACTGGAAACGTTGATGAGCAGCGCTGCCTACTCCATGACACTTCCAGTATTAGAAATAACCACAAACGCTTTTTTTTCTTTCTTTTCTTTCTTTTTTTTCTTTTTTTTTTTTTTTTTTTTTTTGAGACGGAGTCTCCCTATGTCGCCCAGGCTGGAGTGCAGTGGCGCAGTCTTGGCTCACTGAAACCTCCGCCTCCCGGGTTCAAGAGATTCTCCTGCCTCAGCCTCCCAAGTAGCTGGGATTACAGGCATGCGCCAGGGCGCCTGGCTTTTCTTTTCTTTTCTTTTTGTATTTTCAGTAGAGATGAGGGTTCACCATGTTGGCCAGGCTGGTCTTGAACTCCTGACTTCAAGTGATCCAAAGGTCGGCTACAAACTTGTATTATCTGATACCTACTTTGAGCCCAGGCCAGAAAGGATAAAGTAAAGCATGAGACGTTGTTAGTTCATTTCAACAGATTGGGGAGTTGTGGGTTTTAGTCTCTGACGCTTCATTGTTACCATGAGAGCCTGCAAGTTTTTCTTTTTTCTCTTTTTTTTTTTTTTAACCTCTTTGGGTCATCTGGGAGGACGTGGTGCTCTTTTAGCTCTAACATTTTCTGGTTGCAATGCGTTTAGGACTGGGATGCGAAGTGAGTGAGTGAGTGAGCCTTCTCAGGAAAACACTTTCTAGAATTTTGTCCGAGTGTCTGTTGGGAAACGCGCTTACATCCCGCAGAAGGCGGTAAGGACACAGCGCACAACTCTGCATTATACCTGCGAGTTAAAAAGCCAAGGGTTCGCTCACTCAACCTTGAATGCGCGTCAGAATCACCTGGGGGAGGTTTTACAAAATACCCGTGCTCCACCCAAGACAATGAAATCAGACTCCCTGCGAGCGGGGCCGAACATCAGCATTTTTGAGGACGCTCCCTGTGGCTGTGCATCGGTGATCTTTAATCCCCTGCTACTTGTTAGAGGAGCTGGATGACACTTCGTGGGCTCATTCTCATAAATAAGCTGCTGAATGGAGTCCTCTCCTCCCAAGAGTTGTCGGTGTTGCATCTTTTTTGTTGTTTATTTTTTTTTAAGCCAACGGACGAAGACATCCAACGGTGCTGCATCTTAATGGAGGGACATCCAGCTAAAGGGAATCTTGGAGACCTCCGCGGGTTTCTAGCAGCTCGCGGCATGTTGGTTTCCCAGGGCAAGAGGCCGCCACTGAAGGTCAGCTCTGTCTTTCCAGCTGGGCACTGGAGGCTCTAAGTCTGTTTTCAGCAGGATCGGAGGAAGGAGACGGGGTGGCGCCAAGGAAGGAGGAGAAAAGGCGGCCGAGAAAAGGAGGAGGGCAAGGGGAAGAGGAAGGGCGAGGGAGGAGCCTGAGGAGACTCGCCCGGCTCAACCCCGACGTCCGCGCCCCGGCCGCCTGTTGGCCATGGCGGGCCTGGGCCTGGGCTCCGCCGTTCCCGTGTGGCTGGCCGAGGACGACCTCGGCTGCATCATCTGCCAGGGGCTGCTGGACTGGCCCGCCACGCTGCCCTGCGGCCACAGCTTCTGCCGCCACTGCCTGGAGGCCCTGTGGGGCGCCCGCGACGCCCGCCGCTGGGCCTGCCCCACTTGCCGCCAGGGCGCCGCGCAGCAGCCGCACCTGCGGAAGAACACGCTACTGCAGGACCTGGCCGACAAGTACCGCCGCGCCGCACGCGAGATACAGGCGGGCTCCGACCCTGCCCACTGCCCCTGCCCGGGCTCCAGTTCCCTCTCCAGCGCGGCCGCGAGGCCCCGGCGCCGCCCGGAACTGCAGCGGGTAGGGAGGCCGGGCCCGCAGCTCCCCTGGCTCCCCCGGGCTGCCCGCCGCCTGACCCTTTCCCATGTGGCTCGAACCCCTTTCCTCAGCCGTTCTACTTTTACGTTCCTTTTCTCAGTCTAAAAGTCGAGTTCCGCTCTTCGGAGGCACTTTGGAAAGTTCATAAAAGTATGAAGAAGTAGAAAAAAACAAATTCCCCATCTTCCGAAAGCTTGTCAACTTAGCTGTTACACAGCTTGGCATATTTCAACTTCTTCCCAATCGATCTTCGGTCTCTTTCTCTGAAACTTGTAAAATTGTGGTAAGATCTATATAACATTAAAACTGGCCATTTTAACCTTTTTCTTTATTTCTTTGAGACGGAGTCTCGCTCTGTCGCCCAGGCTGGATGGAGTGCAATGGCGTGCGTGATCTCGGCTCACTGCAACCTCCGCCCCCCAGGGTCGAGTGATTCTCTTGCTTCAGGCTCGAGAGTAGCTGGGATTACAGGCGTGCGCCATCACGCCCGGCTAATTTTGGTATTTTTAGTAGAGACGGGGTTTCGACATGTTAGCCAGGCTAGTCTCAAACTCTTGACCACAGATGATCCGTCCGCCTCGGCCTCCCAAAGTGCTGGGATTACAGTCATGAGCCACAGCGCCTGGCCTCATTTTAACCTTTTATTTTTTTGAGACGGAGTTTTGCTTTGTGGCCCAGGCTGGAGTGCAGTGGCGCCATCTTGTCTCACTGCAAGCTCCGCCTCCCGGGTTCACGCCATTCTCCTGCCTCAGCCTCCCGAGTAACTGGGACTACAGGCGCCCGCCACCACGCCTGGCTAATTTTTTGTATGTTTTTTTCTTTTTTTAAAAAATAGGGACGGGGTTTCACCGTTGTTAGCCAGGATGGTCTCGATCTTCTGACCTCGTGATCTGCCCGCCTCGGCTTCCTAAAGTGCTGGGATTACAGGTGTGAGCCACCGCGCCCCGCCTATTTTAACCATTTTTAAGTGTACAATTCAGTGACAAATTAGTTACATTTCCTGTTGTGCAACTATCACTTCTGTTTCCAAAACTGTTTCATCATCATAAACAGAAACTTTGTACTCATTAAGCAGTAACTCCTCATTTCTCCTCCCTCTAGCCCCTGCTCACATCTAAGCTACTTTCTGTATCTGAGTTTGCCTGTTCTAGATATTTCATATAACTGGAATCGTTCAATGTTTGTCCCTTTGTGCCTGGTTTCTTTCACTTAGCATAGTGTTTTCAAAGTTCATTCATGTTGTAGCATGTGTCAGAACTTTATTCCTTTTATGGGGCTGAATGATATTCCATTGGGTGGATGTGCCACATTTTTTTTGTTTGTTTTGTTTTGAGATGGAGTCTTGCTCTGTTGCCAGGCTGGAGTGTAGTGGCATGATCTTGGCTCACTGCAACCTCTGCCCCCTGGGTTCAAGTGATTCTCCTGCCTCAGCCTCCCAAGTAGCTGGGACTACAGGCATGCACCACCACACCCAGGTAATTTTTGTATTTTTAGTAGAGACGGGTTTTCACCATGTTGGCCAGGATGGTCTCGATCTCTTGACCTTGTGATCTGCCCACCTCGGCCTCCGGAAGTGTTGGGATTACAGGCGTGAGCCACCGCACCCAGCCTCACTGTGATTTTGATCTGGATTTCCTTAATGACTAATGATGTTGCCCATCTTTTCTTGTGCTTGTTGGTCATTTATAGATCTTCATTGCAGAAATGTCTATTCAAGTCCTTTGACCATTTTAAAATTGGGTTGTTTATCTTTTTGTTGTTGAGTTTTAGAGATTCCTTCTATATTCTGGATATCAAATTAGATATGACTCACAGATATATTATAAAATATATATTCTCCCATTCTAAGCGTTGTCACTTTCTTGATGGTATCCTTTGATGTGCAAAAGTTTTAAATTTAATTTTTATCTGTTGTTTTCTTTTGTTGCTTGTGCTTCTGTTGTCATATTTACAAATCCATTGCCAAATCTCAGTTCATGAAGATTTACCCCTATGTTTTCTTCTAAGAGTTTTTTTTTTTTTGAAACGAGGTCTCGCTCCTTTCCCAGGGATGGAGTGCAGTGACACGATCTCAGCTCACTGCAGCCTCCACCTCCCGGGTTCAAGCAATTCTCCTGCCTCAGCCTCCAAAGTATTTGGGATTACAGGCGCCTGCCACCACACCTGGATAATTTTTGTATTTTTAGTAGAGACGGGGTTTCACTGTGGGCCAGGCTGGTCTTGAACTGCTGACCTCAAGTGATCTGCCTACCTTGGCCTCCCAAAGTGTTGGGATTACAGGCATGAGCCACTGTGCCAGCCTCTTCTAAGAGTTTTATGGTTTTAGCTTACGTTTAGGTAATTGGTCAATTTTAAGTTAATTTTTGTATATGGTGTGAATTAGGGGTCCAACTTCATTCTTTTGTATGTGGAAATCCAATTGTCTTGGTACCATTTGTTGAAGAGTCTATTCTCCATTGATTAGACTTGGCATCCTTGTCAACAATCATTTGGCTGGGCCAGGCATGTGGTTCACACCTGTAATCCCAGCACTTTGGGAGGCCAAAGTTTCATCTAGAGATGAAACCCCATCTCTAGAAAAATACAAAAAATTAGCTGGGCATGGTGGCATGTGCCTGTAGTCCCAGGTACTTGGGAGGCTGAGGTAGGAGAAATCACCTGAGCTGGGAGTTTGAGGTTGCAGTGAGCCGTGATTGTACCACTGCACTCCAGCCTGGGTAATGGAGTGAGACTCTGTCTCAAAATAAATGTATAGTTTTATTTCTGTACATTCCATTTTATTCCATTGGTCTATATGTCTGTACTTATGCTGGTACCACACTATTTTGATTACTATAACTTTGTAGTAAATTTATAAATAGAGAAGTGTGAGTTCTTTGACTTTGTTTTTTGTTTTTTTTCCCCAAGATTGTTTTTGTTATTCAGAACCCCTCGCAATTCCATCTGAATTTGAAAATTGGCTTTTCCATTTCTACAAAGTAGGCTGTTGGAATTTTGATAGGGATTATGTTGAATCTGTAGATCACTTTGGGTAGTATTGACATCTTAACAATATTAAGTCTTCTTTCCCTAAAACACAGAATGTCTTTTTATTTATTTTTATTTGGGTCTATAATTCCTTCAGTGATTTTTTTTTTTGTAGTTTTAAGTGTATAAGTCTTTCACCTCTTTGATTAAATTTATTCCTAGCTATGTTATTCCTTTTTATTATTATTATTATTATTATTTTTTTTTGAGACAGAGTCTTGTTCTGTCACACAGGCTGGAGTGCAGTGGCACGATCTTGGCTCACTGCAACCTCCATCTCCCGGGTTCAAGTGATTCTCCTACCTCAGCCTCCCGAGTAGCTGGGGTTACAGGTGCCCATCACCACCCAGGCTAATTTTTATATTTTTGTAGAGATGGGGTTTCACCATGTTAGCTAGGCTGGTCTCAAACTCTTGACCTCAGGTGATCTGCCTGCCTCGGCCTCCCAAAGTGCTGGGATTACAGGCATGAGCCACTGTGCCAGGCCCATTATAATTTATTTTAAGAAATTTTTCAGGCAGATTGTCATGGCTCACACTTACAATCCTAGCACTTTGGGAGGCAGAAGCAGGAGGATTGCTTGAGCCCAGGAGTTCAAGACCAGCCTGGGCAGCATGGTGAGATCCAATTAAAAAAAAAAGAAAAAAGAAGCTATGAGACCCAATGAAAAAAAAAAGAAAAAAGAAGCTGGGTGTGATGACACATGGCTGTGGTCCCAGCTACTTGCGAGACTGAGGTACGAAGAACACTTGAATCCAGGAGGTTGAGGCTGCAGTGAGCTGTTTTCATGTCACTGCACTCCAGCCTGGGCAACAGAGCAACATCCTGTTTCCCCTTAAAAAAATATTGCTACTTATGCCTGCACCTGAGCCCAGGCACACATCTGGATTAGAAGATGCCAGGCTCAGAGGATCTTCCTAAAGGCAAGGACCAGATGCATTCACACAGGAAATGAACTGTGTTCACTGAGAAGCAACTGGAAGATCTGAACATCTTGTTCAATGAGAACCCATACCCAAACCCCTGCCCTCAGAAATAAATGGCCTCGAAAATAGACATACACCCAACAATACTCCAGGTCTGGTTCAAGAACCACAGAGCAAAACTCAAGAAAGCCAAATAAAAGCATATTCAGCAAAAACAAGAAACTCCACAACCGCCAATACCGGAGGGTGGAGTCACCACCAGTGTCGGCCTGAGAAATGCAGACACACTACCCAGATTGCCCAACACTGCTCACCTGATTGGCCTGGTGTACATGGGTCATCGGGTACCCTCTTTCCAGCTCATCCTGTACCCCAACATCAAGGTCCCTGCAGATGACTTCGTTGGCCACAGAATAGTCCATTTTGGCTGCTGCCAAGCTCCTAACGTATATGGCTTCTACCCCATTTTGGAATCCCAAGTTTGGGCTCCAAGCTTCAATTCTGACTCTTCTGCCTGTTCATCTCTACAAAGTTGAGAGATGATAAATACAAAAAGTCACATGTAAAAAAAAATAAATACTAAAAAAATTTTTTTTGTTTGTTTTTTTGAGATGGCGTCTCGCTCTGTTGCCAGACTGGAGTGCGGTGGCGTGATCTCTGCTCACTGCAACCTCCGCCTCCCTGGTTCAAGTGATTCTCCTGCCTCAGTCTTCCCAGCAGCTGGGATTACAGGCACACGCCACCACACCTGGCTAATTTTTGTATTTTTAGTAGAGACGGGGTTTCACCATGTTGGCCAGGATGGTCTTGAACTCCTGACCTCGTGATCCACCCGCCTCGGCCTCCCAAAGTGCTGGGATTACAGGCATGAACCACCACGCCCAGCCTATTTCAATTTTTTTTGAATGTTTTAAGACTTGTTTTTGTGACCTGACATATGTTAGGTCTTAGGTTTTGTGACCTATCCTTGAGAATGATCATGTGCTGAGGAAAAGATCCATGTGTATTCTGTAGCGTGGATGTAAATGTTCCATAAATATCCATTAGGTCCATTTGATCTACAGTACAGATTAAGTCCAATATTTCCTTGTTACTTTTCTGTCTGAATAATTTGTTCAATGCCAAAAGTGGGTTGTTGAAGTCTCCAGCTGTTATTGTATTGGAGTCTGTCTTCTCTTTAGCTCTAATAATACTTGCTTTACATGTCTGGGTGCTTTAGTGTTGGTGCATATATATTTACAGTTGTTATATCTTCTTACTGAATTGACTCCATCATTATAAACTTTGTCTTTTATTATAGATTTTGTTTTGAAATCTATTTGTCTGATATATGTATAGCTAATCCTGCTCTTTTTTGGTTTCCATTGGCATGGGATATATTTTTCCATCCCTTTATTTTCAGTCTATATGTGCCTATAGATGAAGTGTGTTTCTTGTAGGGAATAGATCATTGGGTCTTGTTTTTTTATCCAGTCAACCACTCTGTGTCTTTTGATTGAAGATTTTTGTTCATTTACATTCAATGTTATTGATAAGTAATTCTTGCCATTTTGTTATTTGTTCTTTGGTTGTTTTGTTTTGTGGTCTTCTCTTCCTTCTTTCCTTCTTTTCTGTCTTCCTTTAAATGAAGATGATTTTCTCTGGTGCTATGATTTAGTTTCTTGCTTTTTATTTTTTGTGTATCCATTATATGATTTTTGATTTGAGGTTACCATGAGCTTGCAAGTAGTATCTTATAACCTATTGTTTTAAGCTGATAACAACTTGACACTGCTTGCATGAACTACCTAACAAGCAAAAAGAAAACTAATAAAAACTCTACACTTCAAATTCATCCCCTGCTATTTAATTTTTTGTTATTTCTGTGTATATCTTATACTATCTATATGTTTGAAAGTTGTTGTAGTTATTTTTTATTGGTTTTCTGTGACCTTACTATTACTAGTGAGGTTTTTGTTTTGTTTTGTTTTGTTTTGAGACAGAGTTTTACTCTGTTGCCCAGGTTGGAGTGCAGTGACGTGATCTCGGCTCACTGCAACTTCCACCTCTTGGGTTCAAGAAATTCTCCTGTCTCAGCCTCCCGAGTAGCTGGGACTACAGGCATGCGCCACCATGCCCAGCTAATTTTTGTATTTTTAGTAGTGACAGGGTTTCATCATGTTGTCCAGGCTGGTCTTGAACTCCTGACCTCAAGTGATCTGCCCACCTCAGCCTCCCAAAGTGCTGGGATTACAGGCCACCTCCTGGGTTCAAGCGATTCTCCTGCCGCAGCCTCTGGAGTAGCTGGGATTACAGGCGCCCACCACCACGCCCGGCTAATTTTTGTATTTTTAGCAGAGACGGGGTTTCACCATGTTGGCCAGGCTAGTCTCGAACTCCTGACCTCAGGTGATCCACCCGCCGTGGCCTCCCAAAGTGCTGGGATTACAAGTATGAGCCACTGCGCCTGGCCTTCTTTTCTTTTTGATTGAAGTATTCCCTTTAGCATTTCTTGTAGGACAGGTCTGGTGTTGATAAAATCCCTTAGCTTTTGTTTGTCTGGGAGAGTCTATTTCTCCTTCATGTTTCAAAGCTATTTTCACAAATTATAGTTTTCTAGGGTAAAAGTTTTTTCCTTCAGCACTTTACATATGTCATGGCACTTTCTCCTGGCCTATAAGGTTTCCACTGAAAAGTCTGCTGCCAGATGTATTGGAACTCCCTTGTATATTATTTATTTCTTTTCTCTTGCTGCTTTAGGATCCTTTCTTTAACCTTAACCTTTGGGAGTTTTATTATAAATGCCTTCACATAGTCTTCTTTGGGTTAAATCTGCTTGGTGTTTTATAACCTTCTTGTATGTAGATATTGATGTCTTTCTGTAGATTTGGGAAGTTCCATGCTATTATTTCTTTGAATAAACTTTCTACCACTATTTCTTTCTCTACCTCCTCTTAAGGCCAATAATTCTTAGATTTGCCCCTTTGAGGCCATTTTCTAGATCTTGTAGGCATGCTTCATTCTCTTTTTTCTTTTGTCTCTTCTTACTGTGTATTTTCAAATAGGCTGAATTCAGGCTCACTAATTCTTTCTAATACTTGATCGATTTTGCTATTGAGAGACTCTGATGCATTCTTCAGTATGTCAGATGCATTCTTCGATTCCAGAATTTCTGCTTGATTTTTAATTATTTCTTTTTTTTATTTATTTTTTATTTTTTATTTTTTTTTTATTGATCATTCTTGGGTGTTTCTCGCAGAGGGGGATTTGGCAGGGTCATAGGACAATAGTGGAGGGAAGGTCAGCAGATAAACAAGTGAACAAAGGTCTCTGGTTTTCCTAGGCAGAGGACCCTGCGGCCTTCCGCAGTGTTTGTGTCCCTGGGTACTTAAGATTAGGGAGTGGTGATGACTCTTAACGAGCATGCTGCCTTCAAGCATCTGTTTAACAAAGCACATCTTGCACCGCCCTTAATCCATTTAACCCTGAGTGGACACAGCACATGTTTCAGAGAGCACAGGGTTGGGGATAAGGTCACAGATCTACAGGATCCCAAGGCAGAAGAATTTTTCTTAGTACAGAACAAAATGAAAAGTCTCCCATGTCTACTTCTATCCACACAGACCCGGCAACCATCCGATTTCTCAATTTTTTCCCCACCCTTCCCGCCTTTCTATTCCACAAAACCGCCATTGTCATCATGGCCCATCCCCAATGAGCTGCTGGGCACACCTCCCAGACGGGGTCGTGGCCGGGCAGAGGGGCTCCTCACTTCCCAGTAGGGGCGGCCGGGCAGAAGCGCCCCTCACCTCCCGGATGGGGCGGCTGGCCGGGCGGGGGGCTGACCCCCCCCCCCACCCTCCCGGACGGGGCGGCTGGCCAGGCAGAGGGGCTCCTCACTTCCCAGTAGGGGCGGCCGGGCAGAGGCGCCCCTCACCTCCTGGATAGGGCGGCTGGCCGGGCGGGGGGCTGTCCCCCCCACCTCCCTCCCGGACGGGGCGGCTGGCCGGGCAGAGGGGTCCTCACTTCCCAGTAGGGGCGGCCGGGCAGAGGCGCCCCTCACCTCCCGGACGGGGCGGCCGGCCGGAAGGGGGGCTGACCCCCCCCACCTCCCTCCCGGACGGGGCAGCTGGCCGACCCCCCCCCCCCGCCTCCCTCCCGGACGGGGCGGCTGGCCCGGCAGAGGGGCTCCTCACTTCCCAGTAGGGGCGGCCGGGCAGAGGCGCCCCTCACCTCCCGGACGGGGCGGCTGGCCAGGCGGGGGGCTGATCCCCCCCACCTCCCTCCCGGACGGGGCGGCTGGCCGGGCGGGGGGCTGACCCCCCCCACCTCCCTCCCGGACGGGGCGGCTGGCCGGGCAGGGGGCTGACCCCCCTCCCCCCTCCCGGACGGGGCGGCTGGCCGGGCGGGGGGCTGACCCCCCCACCTCCCTCCCGGATGGGGCGGCTGGCCAGGCGGGGGGGCTGACCCCCCCACCTCCCTCCCGGGCGGGGCGGCTGGCCGGGCAGAGGGGCTCCTCACTTCCCAGTAGGGGCGGCCGGGCAGAGGCGCCCCTCACCTCCCGGACGGGGCGGCTGGCCAGGCGGGGGGCTGATCCTCCCACCTCCCTCCCGGACGGGGCGGCTGGCCGGGCGGGGGGCTGACCCCCCACCTCCCTCCCGGACTGGGCGGCTGGCCAGGCGGGGGGCTGACTCCCCCACCTCCCTCCTGGACGGGGCGACTGGCCGGGCAGAGGGGCTCCTCACTTCCCAGTAGGGGCGGCTGGGCAGAGGAGCCCCTCACCTCCCGGATGGGGCGGCTGGCCGGGCGGGGGGCTGACCCCCCCACCTCCCTCCCGGACGGGGCGGCTGGCCGGGCAGAGGGGTCCTCACTTCCCAGTAGGGGCGGCCGGGCAGAGGCGCCCCTCACCTCCCGGACGGGGCGGCCGGCCGGGCGGGGGGCTGAGCCCCCCACCTCCCTCCCGGACGGGGCGGCTGGCCGGGCAGAGGGGCTCCTCACTTCCCAGTAGGGGCGGCCGGGCAGAGGGGCTCCTCACTTCCCAGTAGGGGCGGCCGGGCAGAGGAGCCCCTCACCTCCCGGACGGGGCGGCTGGCCGGGCGGGGGGCTGACCCCCCCCACCTCCCTCCCGGACGGGGTGGCTGCCGGGCGGAGACGCTCCTCACTTCCCAGACGGGGTGGTTGCCGGACGGAGGGGCTCCTCACTTCTCAGACGGGGCGGTTGCCAGGCAGAGGGTTTCCTCACTTCTCAGACGGAGCGGCCGGGCAGAGACGCTCCTCACCTCCCAGACAGGGTTGCGGCCCAGCAGAGGCGCTCCTCACATCCCAGACAGGGCGGTGGGGCAGAGGTGCTCCCCACATCTCAGACGATGGGCGGCCGGGCAGAGACGCTCCTCACTTCCTAGATGGGATGGTGGCGGGGAAGAGGCGCTCCTCGCTTCCTAGATGGGATGGCGGCCGGGCAGAGACGCTCCTCACTTTCCAGACTGGGCAGCCAGGCAGAGGGGCTCCTCATATCCCAGACGATGGGTGGCCAAGCAGAGAAGCTCCTCACTTCCCAGACGGGGTGGCGGCCGGGCAGAGGCTGCAATCTCGGCTCTTTGGGAGGCCAAGGCAGGCGGCTGGGAGGTGGTTGTAGCGAGCCGAGATCACGCCACTGCACTCCAGCCTGGGCACCATTGAGCACTGAGTGAACGAGACTCCATCTGCAATCCCGGCACCTCGGGAGGCCGAGGCTGGCGGATCACTCGCGGTTAGGAGCTGGAGACCAGCCCGGCCAACACAGCGAAACCCCGTCTCCACCAAAAAAAAACGAAAACCAGTCAGGCGTGGCGGCGCGCGCCTGCAATCGCAGGCACTCGACAGGCTGAGGCAGGAGAATCAGGCAGGGAGGTTGCAGTGAGCCGAGATGGCAGCAGTACCGTCCAGCTTTGGCTCAGCATCAGAGGGAGACCGTGGAGGGAGAGGGAGAGGGAGAGGGAGAGCGTGGTGATGACTCTTAACCGATTTTTAATTATTTCAATCATTTTGTTAAATTTACCTGATAGAATTCTGAATTCCTTCTCTGTTATCTTGAATGTCTCCGAGTTTTCTTAAATCAGCTATTTTGAATTCTCTGTCTGAAAGGTCACATATTTCTGTTTCTCCTGAATTGGCTCTTGGTGACTTATTTAGTTAGTTTGGTGGGGTCATGTTTTCCTGAATGGTCTTGATGCTCGTGGATGTTTGTCAGTGCCTGGGCATTGAAGAGTTAGTTATTTATTGTAGTCTTCACAGTCTGGGCTTGTTTGTACCTGTCCTTCTTGGGAAGGCTTTCCAGGAATTTGAAAGGACTTGGGCGTTGTGATCTAAGCCGTATCTGCATTAGGGGGCACCCCAAGCCCAGTAAAGCTGTGACTCTTGCAGACTACTAGAGGTACCACCTTGGTGGTCTTGTATAAGATCCAGAAGAATTATCTGGATTACCAGGCAGAGATTCTTGTTCTCTTCTCATACGTTCTCCAAAACAGTCTGTCTGTGTGCTGAGCTGCCTGGAGCTGGAGGTGGGGTGACAGAAGCACCTTGTGGCCATGACCACTAGAACTGCACAGGGTCAGACCTAAAGCCAACACAGCACTGTGCCTTACCCAAGCCCCTTGTTAACCACTATCTGGCTACCACCTATATTGACTCAAGGACCTAGGGCTCTATAATCAGCAGATGGCAAAGCCAGCCAGGCTTGTGTCCTTCCCTTCATGGTGGCACATTCACCCAGGCTCGGGGCCGGTCCAGAGACCCATCTCAGCACTAGGACTTGCCTAGGAGTTGCAGTCCTTGTGGCCTAGACTGCCTTTCAAGTTTATTTAGAGCCCCAGAGCACTTCAGCCCACAGTGGAGAGGCTTGCCAGAACTCAGGTTCCAATAACTGGGGTGGGTGATTTGATTCCTCTCTGGCTAGGACTGATCTAAATGCTCCCTCTGTGGGTAGGCGTCAGCTGAATTCAGCCCAGTTTTGCTTTGTGAAGCGACAAGGCAAAGTCTTTCTATTCTCTTTATCACCATGCTCTCCCTTTCCTGAGTGCACAGATTCTCTGTGCATGTGGCCCCTGACACATGGGATATGGGTTGCATTGGCAATTCAAGACTGTTTCTCCTACCCTCTTCAGTGCCTGTTTCAGTAATATAAAGTTAAAACCAGGTACTGTAAGTACCCCTGATTTTTGGTTCTTATGAAGGTGCTTTTTTGTGTAGTTGTTAAATTTGGTGTTCTTGTGGGAGGGATGATCAATGGAGCCTTCTATTTGGCTATCTTGCTCTGCCCTCTCCACCCTTAAGTCTTCTGGCTTTCCCCCACTTCTCTCTGGCCCTAAACCATTTTTAAGTATACAGTTTGGTGATATGAAATACATTCACAATGTTTTGAAACCATCACTACCATCATTTCCATAACTTTAAAAAATTTTAAATTAACATGACTGGTTCTTCAGGGTACCATAACTCTTTTCAACTCGCAAAAGTGGAATTCTAGGAGGACATTAAAATTCTCCATTTCCTCTTCCCCCAGCCTCTGGCAACCATCATTCTAATTTCTGTCTCTGATTTTGACTACTCTAAATACCTCATATAAGTTGAATCATACAGTATCTGTCTTTTTGTGACTGGCTTATTTCACTTAGCATAATGTCTTCAAGGGTTATTTATGTTGTAGCATGTGTCAGAGTTCCCTTCCTTTTTAAGGCTGAGTAGTATTCTATTGTATGTATATGCCACTTTTTGCTTATTCATTCATTTGTCTGCAGATACTTGGGTTGCTTCCATGTTTTAGCTAGTGGGAATAATACTGCTATGGGCATGAGTTTATGAATCTCTTTGAGATCCTGTTTTCAATTCTTATATATCCGGAAGTGGAATTGCTAAATCATATGGTAATTCTAATTACATATATGTACATATATATATATATATATATATATATATATATATTTTTTTTTTTTTTTTTTGAGATGGAGTCTGGCCCTGTCGCCCAGGCTTGAATGCAGTGGCATGATCTTGGCTCACTGCAACCTCCATCTCCTGGGTTCAAGAGATTTTCTTGCTTCAGCCTCCCAAGTAGCTGGGATTATAGGTGCCTGCAACCACACCTGGTGAATTTTTGTATTTTTAGTAGAGATGGGGTTTCACCAGGTTGGCCAGGATGATCTCGAACTCTTGACCTCAGGTGATCCACCCGCCTCGGCCTCCCAAAGTGCTGGGATTACAGCCATGAGCTATTGCGCCTGGCCTATTTTTAATATTTTGAGCAGCCACCATTCTGTCTTCCATAGTGGCTATATCATTCCCACCAACAGTGCAGAGGGTTCCAATCTTCCCACACCATCAACATTTGTTATTTTGGTTTTTTTTTTTTTGATAGTAGCCAACCTAATGAGTGTGAGGTGGTATCTCACTGTATGTTTTGATTTGCATTTCCCTAGTGATTAGTGATCTTGAGTGTCTATTCATGTGCTTATTGGTGATTTGTATATCTTCTTTGGAGAAATAGCTATTCAAGTTCTTTGCCCATTTCAAAATTCAGTTGTTTGTGGGTTTTTGCTTGTTTGTTTTACCAACCAAACAAGCGGCAGTGATATGTTTTTATTGTTGAGTTTTAGAAATTCTCTGTATATTCTCAGTATTAATGCCTTATCAGATGTATGACTTGCAAATATTTTCTTCCATTTTTGTGGATTGCCTTTTTACTCTATTGTTCGTGTCTTTTGATGCACAAATGTTTAAACATTTCATGTAGTCCAATTTGTCTCCTTTTTTCTTTTGTTGCCTGTGCTTTTAGTGACATATACAATAAATCATTGCCAAATCCAATGTCATAAATTTTGCCCTATGTTTTCTTCTAACAGCTGTATTATTTTAGGTCTTACATTTAGGTCTTTGATCCATTTTGAGTTAGTTTTTGTATATGATGTTAGGTAAGGGTCCAGCCATATTCTTTTGCATATAGATATCCAGTTTTCACAGTACAATTTGTTGAAAAAACTGTCCTTTCTCCATTGAATGGTCTTGGCACCTTCGTCAAAAATCATTTAACTATATATGTGAGAGTTTATTTCTGGGTACTCTATTGTATTCCATCGGTCTGTATGTCTGTTTTTATGCCATTACCACAGTATTTATGATTCCCTCTGTCTAGTGGTGGTTCCTGGGTCCAGTTTTATAGAACCCAGGACCTGAACTTTGCTATTTTGAAGGTGGCAGTAGAGAAGAGCATCACAGAAGTTGCTCAGGAGCTGACAGAGCTGGTGGAACATCTTGTAGACATTGTCAGAAGCCTGCAGAATCAGAGGCCCCTATCAGAATCTGGACCAGACAACGAACTGAGCATCCTGGGCAAGGTAGGCTCCACTGGGAGAGGAAAGGATGTGGAAGGGAATAGGGCTAGGGATTGCTTTCAACTGGAACAACATGAACATATTTGAACCTGAAGGATACAATAAGTCTCAATCTTTTATTGTTCTCTTTACTACCAGACATGGATGATTGGACATTTGGAATGCTTGAGGTAAGGTTGGGAAGCTTCAGATGGGCTAGGATCACTCCACCTAACAAGCTGTCTCTAAGATCACCAGTGACCTCTGTGTATAACGTTCTGGTGCCTGTCTCTATAAGCGTTCTGGTGCCTGTCTTCATTGACCTTTCAGCAGCCTTTGACACTGTGGACCACACCTTCATTCTTAGCTTTTGGGACAGGAATCTTTTGGCTTTCCCCCACCTCTCTCTGGCTGATCCTTCTCAGTCTGTTTACAGGCTCTCTCTCCTCTGCTTAGGAATTAAATGCTGGAGTTCCTCAAGGCTGAGTTGTAGGTCCCTTTGTTTCCCCTGCAGGTAGTCTTCCCTGCATCCATGGCTTTAATGACCACCTCTATGCACAAATAATAGCTCCAGGCTGGAGCCTTCTCTGAGCACTAGGCTGCTATGTCTTCCTTCTCATCTTTTCTTCTTGGGTATCTCAAAGCATCACACTTAATGCGTCCTAAACTGCTCCTCTTCTGGGATTTCTCATCTCAATGCTTGCCCCATTATCTTTCCAAGTACAGAAGCCAGAGACCTGGAAATCATGTTACCTTCTTCTCCCTTACCCTAATATGCAGCATATTGTAGCTTTAAGACCTGCCTAATTACCTCTCAAATCTATTTACTTATTCTTGAGCTCCTTTGAGACTTGCTCTAATCCAAGCCTCTGATAATTTCATGTCTGGATTGCTGTCATAGTCTTCCAAATGCTCCACTCTCCCTCTTCTAGTCTGTTTTCCTCATGGTCATCACAGTGACTACCACAAACATCAATCTGAAAATGTAACTCATCTGCTTAAAACATTCAAATTACATCAGTTTGCTCAGGAGTAAGACCCAAATCCTCACAGGACCAGCAAAGCCCTGTAGGATCCCATCTCTGTCTGCCTCTCAAATCTCATCTCTGCTCATGCTGCCTGGCTCTGTGCGCTCTAGCTACACTGGCCGCACAGTCGCTCTAGTGTGTCTCACGTCTTCCCACTACAGGGCACCCTTCATGGAATGCTCTCCTTTCCCTCCATCACTTAGGTAATACTTGCTCATCCTTCAGATCCTAGCTAGAACGTCATTTCTTCAGAAAGAAGCCTTCAATGATTTCCTTGAACAAATCAAATCTCCCCATTAGAGGCTCTGAGGACTCCATGTACCTTTCATTTGTAGTGGTTATCACCATTGCACCTTTGTAATGTCTTGTGCCATACTCTATATTAATGTCTGCCCCCCTCCCTTTTCCTTCACTGGACTCTCAACTTCAGGAGGATAGGGACTTTTGATGCTTTTTTTTTTTTTGAGACAGAGTCTTGCTGGAGTGCAGTGGCGTGATCTCAGCTCATTGCAACCTCCGCCTCCTAGGTTCAAGTGATTCTCCTGCCTCAGCCTGCCGAGTAGCTGGGACTACAGGTGTCCGCCACCACTCCTGGCTAATTTTTGTATTTTTAGTAGAGACGGGGTTTCACCATACTGGCCAGTCTGGCCTCAAACTCCTGACCTTGTGATCCACCTGCCTCGGCCTCCCAAAGTGCTGGGATTACAGGCGTGCGCCACATTGCCTGGCTGATGCTTTTGTTCTTTTGTCCACCATTGTGTCCCCAGGCGCTAGCACAGTACCCAAGTACCCACTTACAGTAGGGGTTCAACAAATACCCACTGAATGTATGGATAAATCCATCTTTAGGGATGCGATGTGTTGGGATAGAAACGCTGAGAGTCTGACTTTCAGAATTGACATTGTCACTCACTAGTATTATGACCTTGGGCAAGTCATTTCATCTATCTGCGTCTCAGGTTCCTATCTGTAATATAGAAATAATGATACAGGGCCTGCCACATCATTGGTTTATTGTGAGGATTAAAAGAGGTATAAGAAAGTGCTTGAGCAATGTTAAAATGTGGGATGTTATAATTAACTGTGGCAATTTAGTTAACCTTCATGAATTTCATCTTCTTTTGTAAAACGGAGATTTTTTACAGGTTGATAAACCTACTTTGTGAGGTTGTTATGCAAATGAGAGAAAGGCAATATCTAGCATGTAGAAAACACTCAATAAGTGTAATACTACCGTATTTTGATTGGTGGAAAGAATGGGGAGTGGATTATGCAAAGGTGGGAAGGAAAGGGGTTGAAGTTGGTGAGCAGATAAAGGGCTGTATTGGGGAAGAACAGGACCTGAGGCTAAAGAAAATCAGGGAGCATGTGTTGAAGGCCCTAGAAAGCAGGACCTGGATGCAGGCAATTTGAGAGGGAGCTCTTGCGAAGTGAAATGATATAATGATAGAGGTGGGAAAAGGTTCCTTTTTTTTTTTTTGTGAAATGGAGTCTTGCTCTGTCGCCCAGGTTGTAGTGCAGTGGCATGATCTTCTCAGCTCAGTACAACCTCTACCTCCCGGGTTCAAGTGATTGTCCTGCCTCAGCCTCCCATGTAGTTGGGATTACAGGCACTTGCCATCATGCCTGGCTAATTTTTGTATTTTTAGTACAGACAGGGTTTCACCATGTTGGCCAGGCTGGTCTCGGATTCCTGACTTCAGGTGTTCTACCCTCCTCAGCCTTCCAAAGTGCTGGGATTACAGGTGTGAGCCACCACACCTAGCCGAAAAGGTTATTCTGACCTCCATGGTTTATCTCAGTAACTATCTGTAGTATTTATTTTATAAAGCCCCTATAAGATGCGCCTAGAAATGTTAAACTTTTTTGGTATTACCTAAGAAATCCATGTTTATTGTGCAAAATATTAGAAAGCACATAGCATTAAATAAAGCAAATTAAAGTGCTCCATAACTCCATCACCCAGAAATAACCACTCTTTGATATTTTTGCTGTACTATGTACAGCAAATTATTCCAGATTTTTTTCAAGGCATATTTTTTGAGGGCCTAATTTTGTTTTTAAAAACTTGCTGGGAATTAAATAGAAAATTATAGATGAATAGAAAAACTTGAATATAATAGTTGATAGACTGCATAGGGGACTTCCATTTATTCAGTTTTAAATGGTTTATCAATAGGCTTTTTCTTCTGGGGTGGATCTTTCCATGGCTTCTCCAAAGCTGGTGACTTCCGACACAGCTGCAGGGAAAATCAGAGATATTCTCCATGACCTAGAAGAAATTCAGGAAAAATTACAAGAAAGCGTCACCTGGAAAGAGGCTCCTGAAGCACAAATGCAGGGTGAGCTGATCTTATTTATTGGAGGAGGATTAAATATGGAAGTTGGGGGGAGTAGCAGAGTGCTCTATGGCTTTGTTCTCTGGGGATAGGATCCCAGAGTCCAGCTGTATTACCACTGTGGTGTCGTGAATCAGGTAGGGGTGGGCTGAAGTGATTTTGTGGCTGAATATGTTTTTGGCAATGACTGAAGGTGTGATGTATCACAAGTCCTTAATAGATAGAAACTCATTTTTGAAGATCCATGCACACAGGTCCTTACTGATCAAGTGTGTTATCTTACTGCAGAGATTCTGAAATAGGCCACTTTTAATTTTTTTTTTTTTTTTTTTTTTTTTTTTTGTGATGGAGTCTCACTCTGTCGCCCAGGCTGGAGTGCAGTGGCACCATCTGGGCTCACTGCAAGCTCTGCCTCCTGGGTTCATGCCATTCTCCTGCCTCAGCCTCCCCAGTAGCTGGGACTACAGGTGCCCGCCACCATGCTGGCTAATTTTTTGTGTTTTTGATAGAGACGGGGTTTCACCATGTTAACGAGGATGGTCTCAATCTCCTGACCTTGTGATCTGCCCGCCTTGGCCTCCCAAAGTGTTGGGATTACAGGCGTGAGCCACCGTGCCTGGCCTTAAATTTTTAACTAGTAAATGTCTTCTTCTTTTTTTTTTTTTTAATAATTTTGTTTTGTTTTTGTTTTATTTTGAGACAGAGTCTCACTCCGTCACCCAGGCTGGAGTGCAGTGGTGCGATCTTGGCCAGAATTACAGGCGTGCGCCACCACGCCTGGCTAATTTTTGCGTTGGTTTTTTTTTTCTTTTCTTTCTTTCTTTTTTTTTTTTTTTTTTTTAAGTAGAGACAGAGTTTCACCATGTTGGACAGACTGGTCTCAAACTCCTGACTGCAAGGCTCACCTCAGCCTCCCAAAGTGTTGGGATTACAGGCGTGAGCCACTGCACCTGGCTGTAAATGTCTTTCTTAACAAAGCATATAGGCCAAGTGCAGTGGCTCACGCCTGTAATCCCAGTGCTTTGGGAGGCTGAGGTGAGAGGATCTCTTGAGGCCAGGAGTTCAAGACCAGCCTGGACTACAGAGAGAGATCCTGTCTCTACAAAAAATAAAAAGTAACCAGATGTGGTGGTGCACACCTGTAGTCCCAGCTACTCTGTAGGCTGAGGCTAGAGGATCACTTGAGCCACGGGTTCAAGGCTGAGTGATCATGCCACTGCATTGCATCCTGGGCAACAGAGGGAGATCTTGTCTACAAACAAAACCAGCATGCCACTTTGTAACTAGTTCTTGATACAGTCTATTAAAATATAATCTCTGGGGAGTGTGTTAATGTTAATATTAAACAGTACCATATAGAAAAGAACCTTTCTGTCCTGATCCTGTAGTTTCTCTGTTGTTCTTCCAGAGTTATTGAAAAATAACTAACACCTTCCTGTCAGACATTAGACGTTAGCTCTGTCTGGTCTCCCAGGGTTCTTCCTCCTGCTCTGGCCACTGCTATCTTCATATGCTTTAGAGGCATTTCTTCTGTAGCTTTTCCTCTTCTGATAGCTTTTATATCCTTTATATTTTCATATTTAAACAATCTTATGCTACTTAAAAAATCATTTCTGGCCAGTGCAGTGGCTTATGCCTGTAATCCCAGCACTTTGGGAGGCCGAGGCGTGTGGATCACCTGAGGTCAAGAGTTCAAGACCAGCCTGGTCAACCTGGCGAAACCCTGTCTCTATTAAAAACACAAAAATTAACTGGGCATGGTGGTGGGTGCCTATAATCCCAGCTACTCAGGAGGCAGAGGCACAAGAATCACTTGAACCTGGGAAGCAGAGGTTGCACCATTGCACTCCAGCCTGGGCAACAAGAGTGAAACTCTGTCTCAAAAAAAAAAAAAAAAAAAAAGAATCATTTCTTATGTAAGTGGAGAAGCATGATTCCTTGGAAAAAGTTTCTTTAGGAAAACAATTAGAGAGCAGTTTATTGTTCCAAAAATTATCTGAGAAAGAAGCACCTTTGTATTCTGTGTGCTTCTAAACTTAGGTTGGGTTCCTTAGTGATTTTATTTATACAAATTTAAGATCAATTTTTAAATTTTGGGGGGTTAAATTTAAAATTTCATATTCAAAAATCAAAACAGGGCTGGGCGCGGTGGCTCATGCCTGTAATCCCAGCACTTTGTGAGGCCAAGGAGGGTGGATCACCTGAGGTCAGGAGTTCGAGAGCAGCCTGGCCAACATGGTGAAACCCCGTCTCTACTAAAAATACAAAAAATTAGCCGGGCGTGGTGGCACACTCCAGTAGTGCCAGCTACTCCAGAGGCTTAGGCAGGAAAATTGCTTGAACCCGGGAGGCAGAGGTTGCAGTGAGCCACTGCACTCCAGTGTGGGTGATGAGCGAAACACCATCTCAAAACAAACAAACAAACAAACAAAAACAGTATAAAAAGGGCATACTGCCCAGTCTCTCTTCCATCCTTGCCAATTGCCCCATTCTCTCTTCTCAGTGCACCACTTTTATTACCGTTTTTTTGAGTGTCTGTTCAGAATTTATTTATGCAAATGTCAGCGAATATGAATTTATATTTTTATTTCTCCCAATCTTTTTTTAATACACAAAAGATAGCACATTATATACATTGTCCTGCATTTTGCTTTTGTCTTTTACTTTATACATCTTTATTTTATAGTACAGTAGTTAGGACATTTTTCCTTGCTTTTGTTAGTACCTAGGGCATTTTCTCTTACAGTTGCTCAGTATTCCAATATCTGGGTATGCCAACATTTATTTACTCCATCCTCTGCAGATGAATACGTGATTGTTTCCAATTGTTTACAATGACAAATAATGCTAAAATCAATAACTGTGTATGTACATTGTTTCATATGGGTGTAGATATATTTGTAGCTCAAATTGCCAGTGAAGGTTGCTGGGTCATAGGGTAAATTCATTTGTCATTTTGATATACATTGCCAAATCACCCTCCAGTTGGGTTATACCAGTCTTCACTCCCACAGAAGAAGTGTGTGTCCCCAACCTGCCAACTGAGTATGTTGTCAAACATTTGTCTTTTTTTTTAAACCAATCTCATGGGTCAAAATATTGATGTGAAATTAGCCAGTCTTGGTGGTGGGTGCCCGTAATCCCAGTTACGTGGGAGGTTGAGGCAGGTGAATTGCTTGAACCCGGGAGGCAGAGGTTGTAGTGAGCCAAGACCGTGCCATTGTCCTCCAGCCTGGGCAACAAGAATGAAACTCTGACTCAAGAAAATACATTGACGTGAGAGTATACTGCGCGTTTTTTTTCTCTTTCTCTTTCTTTTTTTTTTTTTTTGAGACTGAGTCTCGCTCTTGTTGTCCAGGTTGGAGTGCAGTGGCCCGATCTCGGCACACTGCAATCTCCGTCTCCCAGGTTCAAGTGATTCTCCTGCCTCAGCCTCCTGAGTAGTTGGGATTACAGGCACCTGCCACCAGGCCTCACTAATTTTTGTACTTTTAGAGATGGGGTTTCACCATGTTGGTCAGGCTGGTCTCAGACTCCTGACCTCAGGTGATCTGCTTGCCTCGGTCTCCCAAAGTGCTGGGATTACAGGGGTGAGCCACCGTGCCCGGCCTATACTACACTTTTAATTTGTGTTTCTCCATGAATTGTCTTTCATATCTTGTGTTATTGGTCTTTTAAAAATTGACATTTAGGAGCTCTTTGTAAATTAAAGAGATTAAACTTTTGTCTGTTATATGAATTGCAAATTTTGTTCCTTAATATGTCATTTGTCTTTTTATTTATCTTTTATGGGTTTTATAATGCCATATAGACATTTTTAAATTTATGTAATTTTTTTTTTTTTTTGAGAAGCAGTTTCGTTCTTGTTGCCCAGGCTGGAGTACAAAGGTGTGATCTGGCTCACTGTAATATCTGTCTCCTGGGTTCAAGTGATTCTCCTGCCTCAGCCTCCCAAGTAGCTGGGATTACAAGCCTGTGCCACCACACCTGGCTAATTTTTGTATTTTTAGCAGAGACAGGGTTTCCCCATGTTGGTCAGGCTGGTCTCAAACTCTTGACCTCAGGTGATCCACCTGCCTTGGCTTCCCAATCTGCTGGGATTACACAGGAGTAAGCCACTGCGCTCGGCCTTTACATAATTTTTTATAGAGATGAAATCTCACTGTTTTGCCCAGGCTGGTCTCAAACTCTTAGGCTCAAGCAATCCTTCTGTCTCTGCCTGCCAAATTGCTGGGATTACAGGTGTGAACCACCATGTCTGGCCTCAATTTTTTTTTTTTTTTTTAGAGACAATAGACAGAGTCTTGTTCTGTTGCCTAGACTGGTTGACTAGAGTGCTGTGGCAATTCCTGGTCTCTAAATGTTTCTTTTTTATTTTTTGAGACAAGGTCTTACTTTGTTTCCCAGGGTGGAGTGCAGTGGTGCGATCATGGCTCACCCCAGCCTTGACCTCCCAGGCTCAAGTGATCCTCCCTCCTTAGCCTCCTGAGTAGCTGGGACTGCAGGTGCGTGTCACCGCACCTGGCTAATTCTTGTATTTTTGGGTAGAGACAGAGTTTTGCTATGTTTCCTAGGCTGGCCTGGAACTCCTGGGCTCCAGCAATTAGTTCACCTTAGCTGCTTGAGTAGGTGGGACTGCAAGGTGGCGCTACCACACTCAGTTAATTTTTTGTTTATTTTTTTTGTGGAGAAGAGGTCTTGCTTCTATTTTCATGTAGTAAATTTTGTTCATTTTTTCTTTTATGCATTGTAGATTTTAAGTTTTAGTTAGAAAACTCAACCCCCTGAAGTTTAGAAAGGAATTTTCTCAGGTATATGTGTGTGTTTGTACTTACACAGTTTACATTTAAATCTTTGGTTTCATGTTTTACATTTAAATCTTTGACTCACTTCAAGTATATCTCAGCATGTATCCTAGTGCATTTTGTTTTATTTGTTTATTATTATTATTATTATTATTATTATTATTAATTTTGAGACAGAGTCTCACTCTGTTGCCCAGGCTGGAGTGCAGTGGCGCGATCTCGGCTCACCACAACCTCCGCCTCCCGGGTTCAAGCAATTCTCCTGCCTCAGCCTCCTGAGTAGCTGGGATTATAGGCTCCCGACACCACATCTGGATACTTTTTGTATTTTTAGTAGAGATGGGGTTTCGCCATGTTGGCCGGGCTGGTCTTGAACTCCTGACCTCAGGTGATCTGCCTGCCTTTGCCTGCCTTGGCATCCCAAAGTGCTGGGATTACAGGCATGAGCCACAGCACTTGGCCTTATTTATTTTTTAAATAGAGACAGGGATGTCACTTTATTGCCCAGGCTGGTGTTGATCTCCTAGCTTCCAGCAATCCTTGTGCTTTGGCTCCCAAAGTGCTGGGATTACAGGCATGAGCCACCATACCGAGCCCCTAGTGAATTTTAAGTAAGATTTGTGTAGTGCCACTTTAGAGACATATCTCATAGCATTTTCATGTTTAATGATATTGCTCTGCTTAAAATGTTGCTCTTAACTGGAGAACCATGATTCTTTGGAAAAAATTTCCATGGTTAAGTGTAGATTATTTCTCTCATCAATAGAGATAAAAAAAGTATTAGGGAGTGTTAATTTAAAAAAAAAAAGTAAATAACTTCAGTAGGTTTTGCAAATGCTTTTTAAAAAATTTTTTTCCTTTCTTTTTCTTTTGTTTATAATCTGCATTCTGCTGAATTAATTAATTAATTAATTTTTTTATTTTGACACAGGTTCTCTGTTGCCCAGGCTGGAGTGCAGTGGCACAATCACTGCAGCCTCGATCTCTCAGGCTCAGGTGATCTTCCTTCCTAAGACTCCCAAGTAGCTGGGACTACAGGCATGTGCCACCACACTCAGCTAATTTTTTGTACTTTTTGTAGAGATGAGGTTTTGCCATGTTGCCCAGGCTGGTCTCCCACTCTTGGGCTCAAGCGATCCTCCTGCCTCAACCTCCCAAAGTTGTTGGATTACAGGCGTGAGCCACGGTGCCCAGCCAAACATTTTTTAAAAACCTATTAACAATAAGTAATAATCGTATCAGCAAAATAGGAGAACAGTGATATTCATCTGAATTTTGTGTTTTTCTAAATTGTAGTGAAAATACATACAACATAAAATTTACTATCTTAACTATTTTTAAGTAGGCAGCTCAGGCAGGTGCAGTGGCTCATGCCTGTAATCCCAGCACTTTGGGAGGTTGAGGTGGGCAGATCAGTTGAGTCCAGGAGTTCAAGAGCAGCCTGGGTAACATAGTGAGACCCACTTCTCTACCAAAAATACAAAAACTAGCCTGCTATGGTGGCACACACCTGTAGTCCCAGTCCCAGCTACTTGGGAGGCTGAGGTGGGAGGATCACTTGAGCCTGGGAAGCAGAAGTTGCAGTGAGCCGAAATCAGGCCACTGCACTCCAGCCTCGGCAACAACAACAAAAAAAGTAGCAGCTCAGAGCTCAGTACTGTTAAGTATGTTTACATTATCATATAACCAATCTCCAGATCATTTTCTTTTTTGTAACTTTATTTTATTTTATTTTTTTTTTTGAGACAGAGTTTCACTCTTGTTGCCCAGGCTGGAGTGCAATGGCATGATCTCGGCTCACTGCGACCTCTGGCTCCTGGGTTCAAGCGATTCTCCTGCCTCAGCCTCCCAAGTAGCTGGCATTACAAGCATCCACCACCACACCTGGCTAATTTTTTTTATATTTTTAGTAGAGACGAGGGTTTCACCATGTTGGCCAGGCTGGTCTCAAACTCCTGGCCTCAGGTGATCCACCCGTCTCGGCCTCCCAAAGTGCTGGGATTACAGGTGTGAGCCACCACGCCTGGACTGTAACTTTAATTTTAATTTTTTAGGATCAGGTCTTACTTTGTTGCCCAGGCTAGAGTACTGTGGCACAACTATGGCTCACTGTAACCTCAATCCTCCTGCTTCAGCCTCCCCAGTAGCCAGGACTATAGGCCCACACCACCATGCTCAGCTATTTAAAGAATTGTTTTGGCCGGGACAGTGGCTTACGCCTGTAATCATAGCACTTTGGGAGGCCGAGGCGGGTGGATCACTAGGTCAGGAGATCGAGATCATCCTGGCTAACACGGTGAAACCCCGTCTCTACTAAAAATACAAAAAAATTAGCTGGGTGTGGTGGTGGGCGCCTGTAGTCCCAGCTACTCAGGAGGCTGAGGCAGGAGAATGGCGTGAACCCGGGAGGTGGAGCTTGCAGTGAGCTGAGATTGCGCCATCGCACTCCAGCCTGGGCGACAGAGCGAGACTCAGTCTCAAAAAAAAAAAAAGAATTGTTTTGTAGAGACAGGGTCTCATTATGTTGCCCAGGCTGGTCTGGAACTCCTCCTGGCCTCAAGTGAGCCTGCTGCCTCAGCCTCCTAACTAGCTGGGACTATAAGCATGGGCCACCATGCCTGGTTTCATGTTGCAGAATTGAAACTCTATACCCATTAAGCAACAATTCCACATTCCTTCAACCCCCTCCTACCTGGCAACCACTATTCCACTTTCTGTTCTATGAATTTGACTATTCTAGATACCTCATGTGAGTGGAATCATACAGTATTAGTGTGTGAGAGGTTTATTTCACTTAGCATAATGTCCTCCAAGCTCACCTATGTTGTAGCATATATCAGAATTTGTTACTTTTTTTTTTTTTGAGACGGAGTCTTGCTCTGTCACCCAGGCTGGAGTGCAGTGGTGCGATCTTGGCTCACCGCAACCTCTGCCTCCCGGGTTCAAGCAATTCTCCCACCTCTGCCTCCCTAGTAGTAGCTGGGATTACAGGCATGTGCTACCACCCCTGACTAGTTTTGTGTGTGTGTGTGTGTGTGTGTATTTTTTAGTAGAGATGGGGTTTCGCCATGTTGGCCAGGCAGGTCTCGAACTCCTGACCTCAGGTGATCCGCCCGCCTCAGCCTCCCAAAGTATTGGGATTACAGGCGTGAGCCACCACGCCCAGGCAGAATTCATTACTTTTTTTTTTTTTTTTTTTTGAGATGGAGTCTCACTCTGTTTCCCAGGCTGGAGTCAGTGGTGCGATCTCGGCTGACTGCAAACTCCGCCTCCCAGGTTCAAGTGATTCTCCTGCCTCAGCTTCCCAAGTAGCTGGGATTACAGCCATGTGTCACCACACGCAGCTAATTTTTGTATTTTTAGTAGAGATGGGGTTTCACCATATTGGCCAGGCTGGTCTTGAACTCCTGACCTTGTGATCTGCCTGTCTTGGCCTCCCAAAGTGCTGGGATTACAGGTGTGAACCACTGCGCCCAGGCAGTATTCGTTACTTTTTAAGGCTAAATAATATTCCATTGTATGTATATATCACATTTCTTTATCCATTTTTCTGTCTCTGGACACAGGGATTGCTTCAGTTCCGAGTTGAATTTTGAGACTGGCCTCTTTACAGGCAGCTCTCTTGCTCTCATGACCTAAGTTACCACAGGCACACCCTAGACAAGGTCTTTCATCTCTTCTCAGGTGGAGTCTTAGATTCACTGCAGCTGCTGTCACTTCAAGATACAAGTAGGACAAGATTTTGCCTTCAAAGTCTGCACTCTAGGACTTCCCTTACTTATCATCTGCCTGACGTGGTCATTGCACTCTAGCACACATGACTGCTTTAAGTTAATAATTAAACTTTAGCACATCGAGAGGGAATTAGGAGGTGTCAGCAATGGTGATGAATCTCACCCCAACTCATGTTACCCAGTTTATGTAACAACAGTTTAAAACATTGACTTGGGGGTCCTGGATATTCTAGGTGTTAGGGTGCTGCAATCCCCTGGAACTGTATTAGTTGATTTTATTTCATGAGTGTGCATAAAACACCTTCTATCTATGGGACTGGCATGGGGCTTGGTGCTTAGAACATATAGATGAACAAGATCTTTGCTAGCAAGGAGCTGAGAGCTTAGTGAAGAAAGAGTGAAAAGTCCACAGTGAGAACATGGAGGTGCACATACCTGGGCTGCAGGCACACTGCCTCTGCCTGATCCAGTCCTGACACTGAAAAATGTGTAGATGATAAGAAGACAAGCCAGCCATGTGCCTTGACCATGATGTTTGGAGACCTTCAGTTTGCCTTTTTCTGATGGGACTTTCCTCTGTTAATTTTTTTGTTACTTAGGAGAACTCCTGGAAGCCCCGTCTTCCTCCTCATGCCCATTGCCTGACCAGAGCCACCCTGCACTCAGGAGAGCTTCTCGGTTTGCTCAGTGTAAGTATGTGGTCCACTTTAAACATGGGTTTGGCTTGCCGCAGAGCGGGCTTCGAGAATATCCTACATCCATCTCCCTACTGCTAGGGCCACTCCTTGGCTTACTGCACATGGATTTGTTCCAGGTCCCTCCACGGGGGGAGCTGATTGCAAAGGCAAAGCAGGTTGAGACTCTAGACCCAAGAGCACTCAGAGTCCCGCCAACCTTTGAGCATCTCTGCTGTGGCCACCAACTACAGCCAACTGCCTGTTCCCAAACCTGCTGAGGTATTTCTGCATCTGTGCTGTGGCCACCAACTATAGCCAACTGCCTCTTCCTAAACCTGCTGAGGTATTTCTGCCATCTCAGTCTGGGATAGTCCTTAAGAGCATGGATCCCAGAGCCAGACTGCTTGGGTTTGACTCCCAGCAGCTCCACTAACTAGCTGTGTGATCTTGGGCAAGTCACTTAAGCTTCCTAGAGCCTGGGTTTCCTCATCTGTAAAATGGAGATAATATAGTACTTCTCTTGCGGGATTGCCATGAGGGTTAAGTGAGTGAGTATGAGTAAAACACCTAGAGTAGTCATGCTGTATAAGTGTTAGCAATTTATTCACTCAATAGGAAACCAAATGAAATATACAAAGTGAGTAAGACATGGTCCTCAATCAGGAAGTTTCAGTTTAACTGGGAAGGTATAAACAGCTGTGGTCATAAATCACCATAAGACGGGCGTGAGCCACCGCACCTTGCCTACGCCCAGCTAATTTTGGTATGTTTAATAGAGACAGGAGTTGGCCATGATGGCCAGGCTGGTCTTGACCTCCTGGCCTCAAGTGTTCCACCTGCCTCAGCCTCCCAAAGTGCTGGGATTACAGGGGTAAGCCAGTGCACCTGGCTGAAGGAGCTGGCCTGATTTTTAAAATTGACATATAATAATTGTATAGTCTGGGTGCAGTGGCTCATGCCTGTAATTGCAGCACTTTGGGAGGCTGAGATGGCAGGATTGCTGGAGCTCAGGAGTTCGACACCAGCCTAGGAAGCATGGCAAAATCCTGCTTCTTTTCTAAATAAATTTTAAAAATAAATAAATATAATAAGTGTACATATTTATGGGATACATAGTGATGTTTCAATACATATGGTGCATAGTGATCCGATCAAGGTAGTTAGCATATCTATCATCTGAAACATTTATCATTTCTTCCTGTTGGGTGATGTAGCAATTTTAATGCTAGTGTGAGTGAAACATCACACCAAAAGATACAAAGTTGCTATTTGAAGACTTCTTAGCATGGACCATCAAAAGATGACCGGCCATGTTCTTATTGTTCTTTTTTTTTTTCCAAAGGGGCCATCCATCCAACCTTTAACTTGAAGAGCCTTTCCTGCAGCCTGGAGGTGTCCAAGGATTCCCGTACAGTGACTGTGTCTCACCGCCCACAACCCTATCGCTGGAGCTGTGAGAGGTTTTCTACCAGCCAGGTCTTATGTTCCCAGGCCCTGTCTTCTGGAAAGCATTACTGGGAAGTGGACACTAGGAATTGCAGCCACTGGGCAGTTGGGGTGGCTTCCTGGGAGATGAGCCGCGACCAGGTCCTGGGAAGGACTATGGACTCTTGTTGTGTGGAATGGAAGGGGACTAGCCAGCTCTCTGCATGGCACATGGTCAAGGAAACTGTCCTTGGCTCAGACAGACCTGGGGTGGTGGGCATCTGGCTGAACCTTGAGGAGGGAAAGCTTGCCTTCTATTCAGTGGACAATCAGGAGAAGCTTCTGTATGAGTGTACCATCTCTGCCTCCTCTCCTTTGTACCCTGCCTTCTGGCTGTATGGCTTACATCCTGGAAATTACCTGATAATAAAGCAAGTAAAGGTGTAAGGTTTCCTAAGGGATTACAACACAGTGGTTTCCTGGTCTCTCTCCCTGTCATCAATCAGGGTAGTAACTTGACTTAAGAATACCACTTTTTAGAAAAATTACGATAGAGATGGGATCTCACTAGGTTGCCCAGGCTGGTGTCGAATTCCTGGTCTCAAGCAGTCCTCCCACCTCAGCCTCCCAAGGTGCTGGGATTACAGGTGTGAGCCACCACACCTGGCCAAGAATACCACTTTTGAAGTTAATCCTTTTGTGTGATACAGGATGAACTTGGGATGTTTGAACCCTGGACATTCCAAATAAAGAATAGGCCCCTGCCTGGCTCCTGGGAGATAACCTCTAAGCCATTAGAATATCTTGCCTGATAAGAGTGTTTTTGTTTACCTGTGGGCCTTGGGCCATGCAGTATCAGCTTGACCTTGCAAGGTCAAGCTGAGGAGACTAAGTTAGCCATGTGGGCAGTGAAGCATGCCAATGTGATCAATCCCTAGTAAAAGCCCTGGACACCTAGGCATGGGTGAGCTACTCTGGTTGGTAATACTCTGTGCACACATCATTGTAGCCACACATCATTGCTGGGAGAATTAAGCATTATCCTGAAGACTCTGCCAGGAGAGGATAATTGGAAGTTCTCTTGGACCTTACCTTATGTGCCTTTCTTCATTGCTGATTTTAATCTGTATCCTTTCACTGTAATAAACTGTAACTATGAGTGCAACACTTTGCTGAGTTCTGTGAGTCCTTCTAGTGAATCACTGAACCTGAGGGCAGTCTCAGAGGATCTCTAAACATAATTTGCTACTTATCAGTTGCTATGTAAGAATATTGCCACAAATTTAATGGTTTAAAATAACACATAGATATTATTTCACAGTTTCTGTGAGTCAGGAGTCAGAGCATAGCTTAGCTGAGTCTCCTACATCAGAGTTTTACAAGCTGCAATCAACATGTCAGCTGGGGACACAGGGTCATCTGAGGCTCCAATGGGGAAGGATCTGCCTCCAAATTACATGGTCATTGGCAGCCTTCAGTTCTTGAGTTGCCGGACTGAGGGCCTCAGTTTCTTTCTGGTTGTTGGCTGGAGACCGCCCTCAGTTCCTTACCCCATAGGCCTTTGCAACACAGCTGCTTGTTTCCTCAAAGACAATAAGGGAGAGGGTCTCCTAGCCAGATGACGCAAAATCTTTTTTTTTTTTTTGAGACGGAGTCTCACTCTTGATGCCCAGGCTGGAGTGCAGTGGTGTGATCTGGGCTCACTGCATCCGCCGCCTTCCAGTTTCAAGCAATTCTCCTGCCTCAGCCTCCCGAGTAGCTGGGATTACAGATGTCTGCCACTACGCCCGGCTAATTTTTTTTTTGTATTTTTAGTAGAGATGGGGTTTCACCATGTTGGCCAAGCTGGTCTCGAACTCCTGACTTCGTGATTCTCCCGCCTCAGCCTCCCAAAGTGCTGGGATTACAGGCATGAGCCACTGCACCCGGCTGACACAAAATCTTACATAGCATAACCACATAAACACGTAATCACGTACATCCCATTGCCTTTGCCTTCTATTGATTAGAAGCAAGTCACGTTACCACCCACACTGAAGGGGAGGGGATTACAGAAGGACATGAATGCCAGGAAGTGGGGCTAATGGGGGCCACTCTACAGTATGTCTGACACAGGTGTTATTTCATACTTGATTTCCCCTATTTTTAACAACCATTTTATTATATAAGAAAACAGATACAGAAAACTACACAAAACAAGTGGTGCTTAATGAGTTATTATAAGGTAAATACCCTTGTAACTATCATTCAGGTCAAGAAATAGCACCTGCTGCCCACCCCAGAAGCGCCTTCCTGTGCCCCATTCTAATCACAAAACCCTCCCTGTGCCTGAAAGGAGTCTTGACATTCACGCCAAACACTTCCTTGCATTTCTTTAGAGTTTTATCACTCAAATATGCATCCATAGCCACAGTAGTTTCATCTTGCCCATTAAAAAAAATGGTATGTCCTTTAACAGCTTTGTTGGGAATATTATTTATTTATTTATTTATTTATTTTATTTTGGAGCCAGGTTCTCACATTGTCACCAAAGCTGAAGTGAAGTGGCATGAATCTTGGCTCACTGCAACCTCTGCCTCCCGGGTTCAAGTGATCCTCAGCCTCCTGAGTAGCTGGGATTACAGGTGTGAGCCACCACACCCAGCTAATTTTTGCATTTTTAGTAGAGATGGGGTTTTGCCATGTTGCCCAGGCTGGTCTCAAACTCCTGAGCTCAGGCAGTCTGCCTACCTCAGGCTCCCAAAGTGCTGGGATTACAGGCGTGAGCCACTGTGCCTGACTGACATATAATTTACATTCTATGAAATTCACTTAAGGTGTACAAATATATGTTTTTTACTATATTTACAGAGTTGTAAAACCATCACCATAATCTAATTTTAGGATATTGTCATCACCCCCAGAAAGAACCCTCATGCCCATTATTTAATGTCTGTTAGTCTCCTAATATACATGTCTCTCTCTCTCTCTTTTTTTTTTTTTTTGTCTTACAGTTCATCCATAGAAGGACTCTGGTCTTGACTAGCACCTATTCTGAAGATGGGGACGTTCAGCTCCTGAACTAGGTTGAAGAGAAAACCCTGTCATGCAAACCAGCCAGGCAGCGTTTGACAGTATATTTAAACTCTTCTTGCCTTTCTTTCCTCTCTAAAATGGACATCATTATTATTTGCCCTTCCTTACCTTCCTCACAGGTTTGCTGAAACCATTAAATAAAGTAGGAGGTGAGGAAATCGGAAGAATACAAGGATGATGATTATCACAGCAGCAATGATGGAATTACATCTTAATATCACCCACCTTGGCCTCTAACATCCTGAGACTCACACCTAATTTCTATACATGATTAATCGCTCCTTCAAAACAGGGGTAAGCAGAATTCTTCCACGTGGTCTACTAATATGCTTTCTGAGCCTCACCACTGCCCTGCGTGATGGGTATTATTACCTTCCTGTTGATGCATAAGGAAGCAGAGGCCGGGACAGGTGTGGTGGTTTGTCCGGGGTTGATCAGCCAGTCATGGCAGAGCTGGAACCAGGCCCAGTTTTCTCACTTTTGTTTGTTGTTGTTTTTTTTTTTTTTTTAAGACAGAGTCTCGCTCTGTTACTCAGGCTGGAGTGCAGTGGTGTGATCTTGGCTCACTGCAACTTCTGCCTCCAGAGTTCAAGTGATTCTCGTGCCTCAGCCTCCCAAGTAGCTGGGATTGTAGGTGTGCACCCCCATGCTCGGCTAATTTTTGTATTTTTAGTAGAGACAGGGTTTCACCATGTTGTCCAGGCTGGTCTTGAACTCCTGACCTCAAGTGATCCACCCACCTCGGCCTCCCAAAGTGCTGGGATTACAGGTGTGAGCCACCATGCCTGGCTGGTTTTTTCACTCTGAAGCCTCTCCCCTCGTTACTCTCCGATAAGGTCCTATGCTAAGGCCAGGACCTGGCCTTCCACTTTGATGGGACACAGCTAGCCCTAAAGTCATGAGGTACCCTTTCTTTTTGATTTTGGTGGTTGTCCTTAAGTGGCCTTGAGTTGTCTAAGCAGTGACAAGGCTTCCTTGTTTGTGCCAAGTGACCACTAAGAAGCTATGGGTGGCCGGGTGTGGTGGCTCACGCCTGTAATCTCAGCACTTATGGAGTCTGAGGTGGACAGATCACCTGAGGTCAGGAGTTCGAGATCAGCCTAGTTAACATGGTGAAACCTCGTCTCTACTAAAAATATAAAAATTAGCTGGGCGTAGTAGCACACACCTGTAATCCCAGCTATTTGGAGGCTGAGGCAGGAGAACCACTTGAGCCTGGGAGGCGGAGGTTGCAGTGAGCCATGATCTTGCCACTGTACTCCAGCCTGGGTGATACATCAAGACTCTGTCTCAAAAATAAATAAATAAGGCTAGGCGTGGTGGCTCATGTCTGTAATCCCGGCACTTTGGGAGGCCGAGGCGGGCGGATCACAAGGTAAGGAGTTCGAGACCATCCAGGCCAATATGGTGAAACCCTGTCTCTACTAAAAATAATAAAATTAGCTGGGCATGGTGGCGGGCACCTGTAGTCCCAGCTACTTGGGAGGCTGGGGCAGGAGAATCGCTTGAACCTGGGAAGTGGAGGTTGCAGTGAGCCGAGATCACGCAACTGCACTCCATCCTGGGTGACAGAGCGAGATTCTGTCTCAAAAATAAATAAATAAATAAATAAATAAATAAATAAATAAGTAAAAAGAAGCTATAGGCCCTCACTTTCTGCATCATGGAGCTTTTATCTTCTAACCCAGAGTTAATTTGATATTTGCCTTTTGAGCCAAGATTCAGAGTTTGGAGTGAAGGGTTTCAGCCTCTTGAGGTTTTTTGGTTAAATATTGTCCTCTCAGACAGTATGTATTGCAATGAGGCCTCTGTGAGTGTTGGTTTTATCTGCCTGCCACATGATGTCCCCAGACTGGAGCCAGAGCACTAGAATCAGAAACATAGGAAAGGAAAGAAGGCTATCACTTTTGATTGCTTTGCTTTTGGCTTGCACTTTGTGTCAGCATATCTCTTCCAGGACACTGTAGAATATAGTGTCCTTCCTTCAAACAAAACACAAAATCTCCAAAGGAGAATAACTAAAGCTGAAATGCCAGTGGATGAAGGACCTCTCACTGGGGTCTGCACTGTGGGGGCGAGGAAATCATCTGCCTATGGACCAAGCCAGAAAGACTTTCCTTGGGGCTATCTTAGTCCATTCGGGCTACTATAACAGACTCCCATAGACTGGGTGGCTTACAAAAAACAGAAATTTATTTCTCAGCTGGGTATGGCGACTCACTCCTGCAATCCCAGCACTTTGGGAGGCCAAAGCAGGAGGATCACTTGAGCCCAGGAGTTTGAGACCAGCCTGGACAACTAAATGAGATCCCGTCTCCACAAAAACATTTTATATTAGCTGAGTGTGATGGCATGTGCCTGCAGTCCCAGATACTCTGGAGGCTAAGGCTGGAGGACTGCATGGGCCCAGGAGGTCAAGGCTGCAGTGAGCTGTGATCATGCCACTGCACCCCAGCCTGGGTGACAGAGCAAGGCCATCTAAAAGAAAGAGAGAGAGAGAGAGAGAGAGGAGGGAGGAAGAGAGAGAGCAAGAGAGAGAGAGAGAGAGACAGGGGGGAAAAGAGAAAAGAAAAGAAAAGAAAAAGAAAGGAAAAAAATGAAAAAAGAAAAGAAAGCAAATTTATTTCTCATAGTTCTGGAGGCTGGGAAGTCCAAAATCAAGGTGCTGGCAGATTTGGTGTCTAGTGAGGGAGCTCTCAGGAGTTCCCCCGCCGTTTTTTTTTTTTTTTTTTTTTTTTTGAGACAGAGTCTTGCTCTATCACCCAGGCTGGGGTGAAGTGGTGTGACCTGGGCTCACTGCAACCTCTGCCTCCCAGGTTCAAGCAATTCTTCCTGCCTCAGCCTCTTGAGTAGCTGGGATTATAGGTGCCTGCCACCATACCCAGCTAATTTTTGTATTTATTAGTACAGACGGGGTTTCACCATGTTGGCTAGGCTAGGCTGGTCTTGAACTCCTGACCTCTGGTGATCCACCCAACTCAGCCTCCCAAAGTGCTAGGATTACAGTCCCTTTTATAAGGTCACTAATCTCATTCATGAAGGCTCTATCTTCATGACCCAATCACCTCCCAGGACTGTCATATTGGGAGTTAGGATTTCAGTACATGAATTTTGGGAGAACACAAACATTCAGTCTATAGCGGAGACACACTGCTTCATAGGAGAGCACGAGGAACTCCTTTGGCAGCTTTCTGCGCTATCTGGGGACATTGTTCTCAAAAATTTGTTTTCTATCAGGCCTTGTCTCTCAAGTGTTTTTTTTTCCTGGGGGTTGAGGAGAATGGAGTGTTCTCATCAGTGCCATGGGCTGCTTCTGTCCTTCTCTCTTCTCTTCCACCTCACACACTCTGGTGAAGCAGCTGCTGGATAGTTCTGTTGAACCCACTATTGGGTCCGGGGCTTTGGGTTCCTGGAAGACCACCTGCTAAGCAGGAAGCCACCATCTTGTTAGGCTTGAGGAAACCTCTAAAATAGTTATATCTATCTGTCCCTTGCTTCTCTCTCAAATACTATTTTGTTTTGTTTTGTTTTTGAGACAGTCTCGCTCTATCACCCAGGCTGGAGTGCAGTGGCACAATCTCGGCTCACTGCAACCTCCGTCTCCCAGGTTCAAGTGATTCTCCTGCCTCAGCCTCCTGAGTAGCTGGGATTATGGGCATGTGCCATCATGCCTGGCTAATTTTTTACATTTTTAGTAGAGACCAGGTTTCCCAGTGTTGGCCAGGCTGGTCTTGAACTCCTGACCTCAAGTGATCCACCCGCCTTGGCCTCCCAGAGTGCTGGGATTACAGGGGTGAGCCACTGTGCTGGCCTTATTTTTATTTTATTTTATGTTATTATTATTATTATTTTGAGATGGAGTTTTGCTTTGTCCCTCAGGCTGGAGTGCAATGGCGCAATCTCAGCTCACTGCAACCTCCGCCTCCCGGGTTCACGCCATTCTCCTGCCTCAGCTTCCCGAGTAGCTGGGACTATAGGCACCACCACCATGCCCGGCTAATTTTTTTTTTTTTTTTTTTAGTAGAGACAGAGTTTCACCATGTTAGCCAGGATGGTCACTATCTCCTGTCCCCGTGATCCGCCTGCCTCGGCCTCCCATAGTGCTGAGATTTACAGGCGTGACCCACTGTGCCTGGCCGCTTGCTTCCTATTTTCTATGAACTCATGGCACTACTGTTGAACCTTTCGAGGTTCCTCTCATGGCCCTGGAACCTGCTTTCCACTGTAAAACATTCTTTCATTCTTTCTTCCGAAATTGCATCCTTATCTTAGCTAAGCAAAACTATTTTCTGAATAAACTATCTCCCTGATGGTTTTTCAGATAGAGACTGCTGTAGGAGAAGAAAGATTTCCATGTTCTCCTAGCTCCTCACATACTCAATGACTACTTTCCTGTTACTCCAAACCCTTCCTCCTCACAAGCTAATATTCTACATTCTATTTGTCAGTTTCTGTCATTAATAGCTCTCTAGGCTGTTCTCCCACATTCAATGACTATCTACAGCCAACCTATCCAAAACCTGAGATCACACCAAGGTATGGTGTGGCCACGTTCCATTCAACAGAGTTCTTTGCTTTCTACTCCAAGACTTGCACTTGTCCATACCCCTAACTGTGCTGCTCCATACTAGAAGTCTTAACATTGTAATGCTCCACTCTTGGCCGTGGCTTCCTCTTTTAGTTCCTTTTCTCTTCGTGTTTCTACTTAGGGACTCATCAAGACATCTACACTCTCTCCCTTTCTTTCTTTCTTTCTTTCTTTCTTTCTTTCTTTCTTTCTTTCTTTCTTTCTTTCTTTCCTTTCTTTCTCTTTCTTTCCTCTCTTTCTTTCTTTCCCTTTCTTCTCTTTCTTTCTCTTTCTTTTCCTTCTTTTCTCTCTCTCTCTCTCCCTCTCTCTCTCTCTCTCCTCTTTCTTTCTTTCTTATGCATATATCTCACCTAAGACATCCAGACTTGAACTTTTCACATCTTCTCCCAATTTATCAGTTGCTCTCTTTGCTTCCTGCTTCCATTTCCTAGCTAGCCCAAGTCCCACAGTGTAGCTCATGGACTTCTTTCTTCAGCACTTTGAACTTTCTTACTTCCTCATTCCTCTGGGACACAAAACTTGTCTATTGGTCATCGAAATTCTTTGACCCAACATATTTCATAGTAATGGTAACATCAATCCCAGCCTACAACTTTTTTATTTATTTATTTATTTTGAGACGGAGTCTCGCTGTGTTGCCCAGGCTGGAGTGCAGTGGCGCAATCTCGGCTCACTGCAAGCTCCGCCTCCCGGGCTCACGCCATTCTCCTGCCTCAGCCTCCGGAGTAGCTGGGACTACAGGCGCCCACCACCACGCCTGGAGAATTTTTTTTTTTTTTTTTTTTTTTTTTTTTTTAGTGGAGACGGGGTTTCACCGTGTTAGCCAGGATGGTCTCGATCTCCTGACCTTGTGATCCACCCGCCTTGGCCTCCCAAAGTGCTGGGATTACAGGCGTGAGCCACTGCACCCGGCCAAGCTTTACAACTTTATTTTTAGGGACAGGGTCTCACTTTTTTGCCCACTACTGCAGCTTCCAGGAGAAAAAGTTATTCGCCTCTGCCGTGGAATATTCTATAGCCTAATCCACGTGAGCAAAAGACACAACTCTACCAAGATATAAAATGTGTACTACATATACAGTCATGTGAGCACTAGGCTGTGACCTCGAATGCCAACAACTATGGCCAAATTACTGACAGACATAAGCCTGAGAACTAAGCCAGACACTCAACAGAAACAAGCCTCCCTTTTCAGAGACATTTTCTAAAACCATAAAAATAAGAGACAAAAATTAGGACATATTCAGGTAACAAGAGCTTCCTTCCCCCAGATAATTTCTGTTGTATAAAACCCAGAGATTAAAAACAACGATATTGGATTAGAAAAAAAAAAAAAAAAACCTTAGTCTTTCAATAAAAAGAAGAATGGGACAAATTTAACCCAAAACACATCATCATCATTTTTCTTGAAAATACGATAGTTCCCTTTTATCTGAGAGGGATCCATTCTGAGACCCCCCCCAGTGGATACGCTGAAACCATGGACAACACCAAACTTTATATATACTATGTTTTGTTCTGTACATACATACTCATGGTAAAGTTTAATTTATAAACTAGGCACAGAAAAAGATTAATACCAGAACAATTATAACATACTCTAATAGAAGTTACATGAACGTAGTCTCTTTTCTCTAAAAATATCTTATTGTACTGTACCACTGGTAACTCAAACTGCGGATAAGGGGGGACTGTTGTACAACAGTCTCACCATTTGCCGGTATTTCCGAATCATTTTTAGCTTGTCTTCTCCTCCCTTGTTCCTTCTTTCTGTTCAAGGCTGCTGATTATTCTCCAGGAGGCTCTTCTAGCTCCAATCACATTCTTATATGTAACAGATAGGAGGTTTCTTTCTTCAGCTGTCAGCTCCACATCCATCCCTGCTAATTTCTTCACTGACTCCACCATTTCTATAAGGGAAAAGCAAAATCCCGGGTCCCTCAGACAAAAGGGCGGGTGGAGGAGGAGAAGCCGAGAGTCCTGCTCCGGCGCCGCCGGAGCACCGCCTGCCTCAGCCGACCAGCGCCGTCGACTACTGGGCCTAGCCCAGACGAGAGGAGGGAAAGGCCGCAGAGGCCGCGAGGATGCTGCGGAGGCGCGGGCGGCCGGCTGCCGCCTAGTTGTGCAGCCCAGACCAAGGAAAGAGAAGTGGGAGGAGCGGGGAGCTCGGCGTCCCGCGTCCTCCGCGGCTCAGGACGACTACGCTCGGCACGTCCGGGACCCTCCGGCCGTGGCGGTTGCAGCGCCAAAAGCTCGGGCCTCAGCCCCTGACGCTGTGGTGACTCCGCCGCGCCTCGCCGTCGCCCCTGTCCCCGTCCTGCCCGCCGCCTCCGCCGCTGGGGACATGTCCAACCCCGGAAGCCGGAGGAACGGGCCCGTCAAGCTGCACCTGACAGGTGAGGGGGAGCGCCGGGCCGGGCTGGGCAGCCGCCGGGTGGGCGAGCTGGCGGGGGGTGCCTGTTGACTTGGGAAGGGCCAGGATCGCGATCAATGGTGAGTTGGGGGTTGGAGGAATGGGAAGGCCTAGTTCAGGGAGAGTAATTGGAAAACCACTCGCTCCGGTTTGGACATTCTTTAAAAAGCCGAGGATGACTTGGGGAGGGGGGGTGGTCTTTTGTGGAGGGGAGGTTACATCGGTTCGCATCGCAGGCGGATTTCAGGTCCGAAAGTCTTGGTCAAGGAGCCCGATGCTGCCTCTCGGGGCTCGGGGAGGAGCCCCTGGGCTACCGCCCAGGTGGGATCGTGAAGGGGATGAAGAGCTCTCGTGGCGAGGATTATTGAATCCGGTTGCTGACTGCGCGCAACTTTAAGGAGTGTTTACTCCTTAAAGATGGAGCGCTTAACGGAAGTGTGTGCGTGTGTGTTCCCGGGTTGTTACCTTGCACACCTACTTATGCCCGCGTGCAAAATCCTTACTCTCCGCCTCCGGCTACCGCTGCCGGGGCCGCACACCTTAAACTCACGTCTCTCTGAGGAGAGGAGACTGAGGTTGACTTTTCCCGTGTGCCTGTCTGATCCGACGGCTCGGGCTCATTGTACACTGTGTTTTGGAAGTGTCTGATTGTAGGGTGGCATGTTTGGGGTTGTACCTTGTAGGCCGCAGAACTTGTGTCACTTCTAACTCCAGACCTGCTTTAAAAACACACTTTTTGGCGGGGGTGGGGAGGGGGTACTTTTCTAACTATGTGCTCATACAAACTTTAGAGCAAACTTTCTCTTACTCTCCCCACCCTCCCCCTTCCTTTTTCTAAATGGAAAATAATGTCCGGAGGGGTTGCTAGATAGAAGACTACACTTACAAAGTGTTTATGATTCCAGGCGCATGAAATCTTTAACATTACAGGTACATTTTTGCTTACAGTGCCATTTTTGGTATTCTTACATGGACATGTCACCCCCATTTTAGGAAAACTTGTATTTGGTTTGAAAAGGAATTGAAATCACGACGTTATCCTACCTTCACCATTTACCCCTGATAAATTGTCCACGTTTATATTCGGATGAGTGGTGAGAAAGATAATTTTCCGTAGAGGATTTGTGTGTGCGTGCACGTGTACGAATAAACTGTAATTATGTTTGCCCACACTAGACTTTGAGATTTATTTGGGCTAATTTTGTAGTTGAATGCATGTGTGTCAGATCCCAGTACAGCTAGATGAAAACTTGCAGTGAATTTGGTATTTGAGAATTTAGCTTGAATGTCTGTTGGCTGCGATTTAAATAATACATGACCTTCATGACAAGTTTTGCTTTCCCTAAGGAAAAATGCAGGGAATCATTAACTGAGTGGTTCTTAATGGAAAACCTGGATTGGAGGATACTTGTATTTCCCCCCAACTTCCCCCCATTCAATGTCCTTATATTGGGAGAAGTCAGTGGAAACCTTTTTAGGGGATCTTTGTTGCTTTAGAGTTTATCTGTTGCTATCTGGAATCAGTGATCATCGAAAGAACATGCGATCCCAGGTGTGCAGAAAGCATCAGAAATAAGCTGTTTCCATTTACTTCCCTCAAGGCTACATAGAGAAAATGAGGGAAAAAATAGGGATTTTGATTTTCTGCAGATAAAATGAGTTGAGGTTTTAAGTATGACTCAGTAGATCTTAAAGTGTTTATCTGTGGTTTCCGTACTGCCTATGATACATTATAAAAATTTATAAGTAAAGTTTGTTAAGAGGAAAGATTATGCTTATATTTTAGGGGAAGAGGGAATATTGAACTACATTTATAGAGTGATTTTGTTTCAGGTTTTTCTGAGGATTTTTTAAATACCCTGTGTCCACTTAATAGTAAAAACAGTTTGAGGTACTCTGAGTTTCTTACAACTATTTGTCTCTGAATAGTTTTCTCTTAAAATTTGACAAATGTTAAAAACATTGTCCTTCCTCCTTTGGTTACAGTGGAGTCTTCTGTTTTGCCAGGAAAGTGAACTTTTTTTTTTTCATTTTTGTTCATCATTTACAAATTAGATGGGATATATTTTAGCAAATAGATCTCAAGAGCTGGATTTAATTAGCAGCTTTTTAGGACATAAACATTAAAGGTTAGATGGAAAAGATTGTTTTGACTGACAGGATAAATGACAGGGCTGTGTTTGATGTGCGTCCAGGAATTGGTCTGGAGCTGGTGCCCAACTTCTCAGTCCATCTTGAGAAGCCAAATAAAATATTTAACCTAGGCCTCATTTTGTTTTTTTAAAAAAAGTTGATTCTTTGTAAAAACCTTAAGAAATGTTTGGCATACCTTTAGACTAAGTGTTTAACAATTCGTTTAGACCTGGGTTCCCTAATAGAGGAAAAAAAATCACTTAAAAAAAGACAGATCTCACAGTGAATTTATATTTGGTTTACAATACACTTGGGCTATAAGATGTTTTAAAATTATTGTTCTTTGCTTTAAGTTAATACCATGTTAGTATTTTACATTTATAGAGTATCTTTGATTTCAAGATGCTGTATAAACTTTAGTTACTTGGTAATAACCTTATTGTGGAATTGCCCTTTTACTGAAAGGTATAAACATTTCTTGCATGGTGACACACACACACACACACACTCTCTCACACACTCATACACACTCTCTCTTTCTGAAGAAGAGGAAATATTTGAACCATGAGATCAGTGCCCACAATTGATATTAGACTTTTCCACATATTATTCTTTTTTTTTTTTTTTTTTTGAGACACAGTTTCACTCTTTTTGCCCAGGCTGGAGTGCAGTGGCACGATCTTGGCTCACTGCAACCTCCGCCTCCCGGGTTCAAGCGATTCTCCTGCCTCAGCCTCCCAAGTAGATGGGATTACAGGTGCCTGCCACCATGCCCGGCTTTTTTTGTATTTTTAGTAGAGATGGGGTTTCACCATGTTGGCCAGGGTGATCTCCATCTCCCGATCTAGTGATCCGCCCACCTCGGCCTCCCAAAGTGCTGGGATTACAGGCGTGAGCCACCACGCCTGGCCACCACATATTATTCTTAAAACCACAATCAGTGAACTGTTTGGTATTTGTCAGTGCTAAGAAGGTGGGGCTAATTTAATAATTTGATCCCAAATTTTAGATTCCTCAGGCAATTGGGGGTTAGAATCCAATTTCATCCATCAAGCTACTTCTGTTCTTTGTGACACATTAACATATGATCATTAAAATGGGGTGTATAGTAACACCATCAACTTCAACTAATATTTCTAGAACAAATTGATTATAAAGTGTATAATTTCTATATTATACCTATATGACTGTCAGATACAGGCTTTTCTTACAATGGTTTGGATAGAAAAATATTCTTTACAGTAAAAACTTTAGGGTAATTTTTAGACCATTATTGTTTTTGAAAACCAAAGGCTGCAAAAAGCAGTTTAGTGTAATTTCTAATATTTTAAATTCTTAGGTATAGAGAAGTAGAATAAGATTACTCCTCCAGAACATTTATTTCAGACCTTTTTATAAATTTAATGTTTTTGTATGCTGCTTCTCATATTATTAATTTCAAAGCCCTTGGCAATAAGGAGGTTAACCTTGTCTATAATGTAAGGAAGTTTAACTTTAAAAATTTCCCTTTAGATATGCTAGCGTCTTAATCTTGTTTCACTACATATTTTATTAATTCAAGGCCTTAAAAATGATAGCTTTATTCTATTACACAGGTTTTTATGTATGCCTATACACCATAATGACATTTATTTATTTATTTGAGATGGAGTTTCGCTCTTGGCTGGAGTGCAATGGGGCGATCTCAGCTCACTGCAACCTGTGCCTCCTGGGTTCTAGCGATTCTCCTGCCTCAGCCTCCCGAGTTGCTGGTACTACAGGTGCATGGCGCCACGCCCGGCTAATTTTTTGTATTTTCAGTAGAGATGGGGTTTCACCGTGTTAGCCAGGATGGCCTCTATCTCCTGATCTCGTGATCCGCCAGCCTCGGCCTCCCAAAATGCTGGGATTACAGGCGTGAGCCACCACACCCAGCCAAGAAATTTTTTAAATGCAAAGTTCTCTAGCCACTTTGTATTTACCACTAGATGTCTCACTAACTTCAGGAAACCTGATAGCTTTTGGCCACATTAGAGTAACTTGGTTCTCAATTAAATTTTTGTAGAATAATATGATCAGGTTAAGTTGAAACCTATTTTTTAAATTAAGATATTGAACTTGTATTTTTGTTTATTGTGTTATTTAACAGAAAGGAAACATAAAAGGCTGTGACTTTCCTACTTAATTAAGGATCTGGAAGCCACATTTTGTATGGAAAAAGGTTTTCTTTTATTTTTTTATTTCAGTAGATTTTGAGGGAACAGATGGTGTTTGATTACGTGAATAAGTACTTTAGTGGTGATTTCTGAGATTTTGGTGGACCCATCACCCAAGCAGTGTACACAGTACCCAGTGTGTAGTCTTTTATCCCTCACTACCCCTACCCTTTCCCACAGTCCCTATAGTCCAGTGTATCATTCTTATGCCTTTGCATCCTCATAGCTTAGCTCCCCCATGTGACTGAGAACATACAATGTTAGGTTTTTCATTCTTGAGTTACTTCACTTAGAATAATAGTCTCCGATTTTATCCAGGTTGCTGTGAATGCTATTATTTCTTTTTATGGCTGAATAGTATTCCATGGTGTATATATATGTGTATATATGTGTGTGTGTATGTTTGTGTGTGTGTGTATACATACCACATTTTCTTTATCCACTCATTGACTGATAAGTATTTGGGCTGGTTCCATATTTTTGCAATTGCAAATTGTGCTGCTATAAACATGCGTGTGCAAGAATCTTTTTTGTATAATGACTTCTTTTCCTCTGGGTAGGTACCCAGTAGTGGGATTGCTGGATCAAATGGTAGATCTACTTTTAGTTCTTTAAGGAATCTCCACACTGTTTTCCGTAGTGGTTGTACTAGTTTACATTACCACCAGCAGTGTAAAAGTGTTCCCTTTTCACTGCATCCATGCCAACATCTGTTTGTTTGTTTTTTATTTTTTGATTATGGCCATTCTTGCAGGAGTGAGGTGGCATCGCATTGTAGTTCTGATTTGCATTTCCCTGATACTTAGTGATGTTGAGCATTTTTCCATAAGCTTGTTGGCCTATCTTGGTTGGTATATCTTCTTTTGAGAATTGTCTATTCATGTCTTTAACCCACTTTTTGATGGAATTGTTTGTTTTTTTTTTCTTGCTGATTTGTTTGCATACTTTGTAGATTCTGGATATTAGTCCTTTGTCAGATGTTTTTCTTAATCCTTAATTTTTTTTCCCCCCTGAGATACGGTCTTGCTTTGTCAACCAGGATGTAGTGCAGTGGCATGATCGTGGCTTACTGCAGCCTCAGCCTCCCAGGCTCAAGCGATCCTCCCACCTCAGCCTCCTGAGTAGCTGAGACTACAGACGTATGCCACCACCCTTGGCTAACTTTTAAATTTTTTTTGTAGAGGTGGGGTCTTACTGTGTTGCCCAGGCTGGTCTCAAACTCCTGGGCTCAAGTGATCCTTTCGCCTCAGCCTCCCAAAGTGCTGGGATTACAGGCATGAGCCACTGTGCCTGACTAATTTTTAATTCTTTTTATTTTAATTTTTTAAAAAAGCAAGAAACCAGCAGAGAGATTTAATTCTTCAACTAGTTTAATAACACCCAAAGGGAAAGTATAGAAATGTGATTTTTTGTTTTTGCTTATAAACATAAATTTATATGTTTAAGTAGTAGAGCGGAAGTAACAAGATGGAGTAAATACTTCCCAGGAGGAAATACTTCATGAATTGAGGGTGGAGGTAAAAACATTCTTCCATTGAACACATTTATAAATGGTTAGGTGTTATTGAAATACTATGCATAACACTCAGCTTCAAGAACAATATAGTCAAATAGATTTAATACCCTAACTTACCAAGTTTGTTTGAAACATAACCCTTAAGTTTTGGTCTTCCTTTATTATTTGAAGGTGATAGATCACAGAATCATAGAATTGGGGAACTGATAGGTGATTTGTCTGTCCTTGAACCTTGGCAAATTAGTATCTTAAAAAAATTAGCATTGATACCAACATGCAAAATTTCTCCAGTCACCAACACTTAACACTGTTTTGTTGTACTATTTTCAGCTGTCCACAGGAAATCTACTGTATTCCAATATGTCTAACATGTGAAGTGTCATTTTTGTCTAACATTTTTAGTTCCACCTTTTAAATTTTTGTCAAAAAAATCATTTTCATTATGGCTTTGGGCCGAAAACTGTATTGTCATCTTTGATACAAGTTTCTTATTGATTTGTATTAGATCTTTCAGAATAGCTCTCTTAATTTTCATTTCCTTTCCCTTTCCATATGACTTTCCTCGTTCAGGGTCTTTTCATCCTACTGTTGGATGATTACAACAGCTTCATATATGGTCGCCTCTAATCTTTCTTTCTCCTAGTGGGCCCTGAATACCACTGATAGGAAAATATGACTGTAATTACAGCCATGCTCAAGAACCTGAAATGGCTCCCTGTTATCTACCTCAATCAGTCCAAGCCCTATTGTCTGACTTCTAAGCTCCTCTTACTGGCTCATGCATATTTCCAACAGTATTTACTTTTACACCTTAGCACAAACTCTTTGGTTAGACTCTTCAAAGTCTTTTAAATACTACATTGTCATACCCTCGTTGGCGCTCTTCCATTGCTAGGAAAGTCCTCCTTTTCCTGTATGTATTTAAAGCAGCAGTCCCCAACCTTTTTGGCACAGGGACTGGTTTTGTGCAAGACAGTTTTTCCAAGGATGTGGGGAGCAGGGGATGTGTTGGGATGAAACTGTTCCATCTCAGATCATCAGGCATTAGATTCTTGTAAGGAGCGCACAACCTAGATCCCTTGCACGCGCAGTTCACAATAGGGTTCCAGCTCCTATGAGCATCTAATGCTGCTGCTGATCTGACAGAAGGTGGAGCTCAGGCCATAATGCTTGCTCTCCTGCTGCTCACCTCCTGCTGTGTGGCCCGGTTGTAACAGGCCACAAACTTGTACCGGCCCATGGTCCAGGGGTTGGAGACCCCTGCTTTAAAGCCCAGATGAGTTCCCCTCTCCCCTAAAGCCCTTTCTTTACTGTTCAGATTCAAGTTGTTCTCCTGATTTTCTGAGCTCTTACTTGTACTCACTGTTGAACCATGTAGTAAATGAGAGGTAAAATCCAGCATAGTGGTTAAGATCATGAAGTCGAGAGCCAGATGGGTTTAGCATCTATACTTTAGACCCTGGCTCTGCCACTTACTACTGTGTGACCTTGGGCTACTTAATTGACCCCCTTGTGCCTTAGTTTCCTCATCAGTAAAATAGGGAAAATAATAATATCTACCTTAGAGGGTTATTGTAAGGATTAAGGATGAATGTAAAGTATTTAGAATAGTACCTAACATAGTGATATGCGTTTACATTATAATCAGTATCACTAAGCACTTGTTTATTCTCAGGTATTTTTGTTTCTGGTTTTTGTTTTTGTTTTGCGTATAGTATTTTTTAATCTTTCCACTTAGATAGTAAGCTCTTTTAAGCCAGAGTGTTACATCTTTTGTTTCGGTCTCATTTTTCTTGGTAGTTATTCAGCAAAACCCATTTTCTAATTTGATTTCTCTGTAGCCTGTGTTCCTGTATAAAAACCTCTAATAAGCTCTCCTTTAAATGAGCTACTGAGGGAGACATTTGGAAAGAAAAAGCCATGAATGGTTACAAGAATTCACCTTCCTGGGGTCAGAGGGCTGGTAACAACTTACAAAAACTTCCACCTTATGAATTAGTCTCTAGATTTTGGTAGTTTAAACTGGGAACATTTTGAGGCAGAAACGAGACAAGTATAGTTTTGGTGTTTTATATAGAAGTAACTTTTAGTCTTTTTTAAAAAAATGGAATATTCATTTATAGCTGTTAAACTTTTTTAAAAATAATGGAATAATCTTTTGTAGCAAATGGAATGTTTGTATAATCTATCTCACATGTCAAATTATTAATTTCAAAAATCTTTTTCACAGGACTTCCTGATCCATTTGCTAAGGTGGTGGTTGATGGATCTGGGCAATGCCATTCTATAGATACTGTGAAGAATATGCTCGATCCAAAGTGGAATCAGCATTATGACCTGTAGGTTTAAACGATTAGTTTGAAATGAAACATATAATTAATATTACTTGATATAGTCTTTGAAAAGAATCGTGGGAAATGATCTGAGTTTCATCTATGCTATAATTTGGTCTTCACAAAAGGTGTAAAGAAAAGCCCAGTGGGAATGTGCTTTGGTTTATAGACAGGTTTTGAAAGATGAGGTATCCCTAAAATTCTATGAAGAACAAAATGAAACTGGCTCACAGTAGAGCAGTCCCCCCAACTTTTTTCAATTAAATAAAGGTATTAATTCACCACTTTAGACCAATTATAAAACCAGAAATCAGAATTTTGATTACACTGAATAGGCATTCTTTTTGCCTTTATGTAGAGGGTTTCTTTCTTTTAAATTTTATTTTAATCATAGGAGTATATGCACCATTTAAAAAAGGCAAATGATACTATAAAGGTTTTATGGAAAACAGCAAGGTCCCTGGTCCTTTCTCATTCCTGATTCCCATCCTCAAGGCAACTGCTCTAATAACTTTGGCTGTTTATTCTGGTATTTTCATCTGTTTCTAGATATGTTCCTTATTTTATACCATCACAGTTTTCTTTTTTCAGTTTTATGTAATTTTTTTTTTTTTTTTTGAGACAGAGTCTTGCACTGTCACCCAGGCTGGAGTGTAGTGGCACCATCTTGGCTCACTGCAATCTCTGCCTCTTGGGTTCAAGCAATTCTCCTGCCTCAGCCTCCCGAGTAGCTGGGAATGCAGGTGCCCACCACCATGCCCAGCTAATTTTTGTACTTTTAGTAGAGACAGAATTTCACCATGTTGGCTAGGCTCGTCTCGAACCCCTGACCTCAAGTGATCTGCCTGACTCGGCCTCCGAAAGTGCTAGGATTACAGATGTGAGCCACTGCGCCCAGCCTAGTTTTAGATATTTTCGAATTTCCTACATAGAAGATAATTCAGCTTTATTTTTTATTAAAAATTCTTTTAAAATTAGAGACAGTCTCACTCTGTTGCTCAGGCTGGAGTGCAGTGGCATAATCATAGCTCACTGCAGCCTCAAACTCCTGGACTCAACGGATCCTCCCACCTCACCCTCCTGAGTAGCTGTAACTACAGGTGCATGCCACCATGCCAAACTAATTTTTTTTTTTTTTTTGGTAATTTTCTGTAGAGATGGGGTCTTCCTATATTGCCCAGTCTGGTTTTGAATTCCTGGGCCCAAGTGATTCTCCCTCCTTTGCCTCCCAAAGTATTTGGATTACAGGCATGGGGTATGATGCCCAGCCCAGTGGTTCAGCTTTTAAAATTGGTATTCGTCATCCCCATTCCCATGACACTCACAAGCCCCTTCCTTTCTTTAATCTTCCAATATAATTATAGGAACCTTTTTGATTAAACCATTGTTCCATGTTTACATTATTATGATTATGTAAATATCCATAGTTGGGTCACATGGGTACAAGAATTATATTTTCTTTCTTGACAGCTTTTGTTTTTTCTGAAGTTAGTAGCTACTTTTCCCTTTTGTTTAGTTTTCTATTTATCTCCTAGCTAGAAATGAGAAATTACATGTCATAATCCTCAAACTCTCCTACAGAACTAAAGATCTTTTCTCCATATATTCAATTCTGTCAGTATTCCATTGGCTTTGTTTCTTCTTGGAGATACCCCTCCTGGGGGTCTGTGTTCTCTTTCTTCAGTCTGGTGTGATGGTTCTCTAAGACCTGCTGTGCAGTTGTCCTGGGACTTGCCTTTATTGTTATGTTGGCAATTTCCTTTGTCTCTTCTAGATTTAGTGACTCTCTTGATTTGGTGAACCCTATCTTCTGTTGTCATTTTGAGAAATAATACAAAGATGGGGAGAAAGTTGAGATCTTATCAGAAAATATATTTTGGTTTCTTATCTGTTGGTATGGTTTGAGTACAGGCTTCTAGATGAAATAGCACTTTATCTCCAAATGTTGAATACATTGCTCCATTATCTTCTAGGTTTAGATTTGTACTGTTGAGTAGAAATATAATGTAAGCCACAAATGGGAGTTCATCTGTAATTTTAAATTTCCTAGTATCCACATTAAGATAAGTAAAAAGAAACAGATGACATTAAGCATAATAAACTGGGCATGGTGGCTTGCACCTGTAATCCAGCTACTCGGGAGGCTGAGATGGGAGGATAACTTGAGGCCAGGAGTCTGTGACCACACTGGGCAACATAGCAAGACCCGTAATACAATATAGTTATATTATGCATAATAAGCATAATTTATTATGCTGAAAATTAAGCATAATATATGTTATTTAATTCAATATATCAAAAATATTTTCAACATGGTAGTATAAAAATATTGAGCTACTTATTTATGTATATATACATATTTACTATGTCTTTGAAAAATCAGTGGTTTTCTCATTTTATGTTAAGAAAAATCAGTGGTTTCTTTTGCAGCTTGCCTCAATGTGGACTAGCCACATTTGAAGTACTCAAAGGTCCCATGTGGTTGGTGGATACCATTTTGGACAGTGTAGGTTCAGAGTATTGCTGATGGCATCCTGATTTTGGTCTGTCATGACTGTTGTTTTCCACTGGAAGTTTCTTTATTCGTCTGTCGCTTGTTATTTTCCTTTAAAAAAATTGTAGCCCCCCTAGTGTGTATGAAGTTGTACCTCGTCATGGTTTGGAAGTGCATTTCCCTCATGACTAATGATGTTGAGCATCTTTGCATGTGCTCGTTATGTTTTATCTTACAGTTAATATTAATTGGCTACCAGAGGCTTCTCTCTTGCTTGTGTCTGAGGTCGTTTTGCAAAATCCTTGCCTTTAATTGGCTAAGTGTACAAACAAAAGTCTAATAATTAAATTTTAGCCCCAAATCCTGAGTATGTATATTATACTTTTGTCTATATGGTAACATTATATCACCCATAGAGGTTACCATCTACCCCTCTCAACAAAACATCCTGAAACTTGTTTATAAATCATGTATTTGTTAGTGAAGTCAAAGTTTTAATAGAAGCTGATAGAGCCCTCTGTTTAACTTTCAATTATAAAAGTCTTTACTTTTTCTTTTATGTGGCCATTATGTTATATTACATGAGGTTTCATTAAAGTGAGAGCATGTACTTCTCTGTGTATAAGAAAAGGTAATATTTCTGATTAATTTCTGGCCCAGGAATATTTGGACAGAATGTTTGTGACATGTACACTTAAGTAATACAATATATTTCATAATTTTGAGTAATTCAGAGTTAGGCTGTCTTCCAGAAGGTCCATAATTAGCAATTTCTCATTACGGTTTAATGTAGAGCTTCCCAACCTTTTCATATCATGGTACACATAAAAAATATTATGGCACACTGGACTAAACAGGTGAAGTTGCTTAAGCCAGTGGTGCATTGCCCTGAGGACTGAGGTAATCAATATATGTATTTCAGCATACCTGTAAACCAGGCTTACTAGTTGGACAACTGGTTTAATGGACTTTTAAAAAAATGTTTGGTTTGGGTAATTCAGCTACTTAATACTGGATTCTGGCTCTGGAATTACATGCCAGTAGATATATACCAAGATGGATCGGGTACGTGTATTTGGAAATTGGTACATGCGTACTGAACAATATTTCAGTTCATATCTTTTCATTTGCAAGCAACAGAGACCAAGTTCAAATCGGCTTAATTTTTAAAAAGGGAATGTACTGATTTGCATAATGAAAAGCTTAGGGGTGGCCATTTTTTAGGCACAGCTGGATCCCGGGGCTCAAGTGTACCTTCCATGTTCCTTATTTGAAAGCTTTAGTCGTTACTTAAGTGGTTTAGTCTTTTCTCTATACTAGGTGAATTTTTCTGATATTGCTAATTTATTGAATTAGCAATACTTTAGACTAAAACTTTGACCTCTTAATGTCATTGAAATAGAGCTAGGATTCTGCTGACATGATTATGTTATTATATTATCTTTTTGCATGGGTTGATGCCATGTTAACAATTGGCTGTGGTAGAGCCTTTACGTACTTGCAGGTATATCCACAGACAAGTACAGTAATGCTTTTCCCTGCACTGCTTGTCTGCAGGAGGTGAAGTGAAATCTGCAAGAGTCCTGCTCGCTCAAGGCCTGCATACAGGAAAGAAGCAGGGGAAAAGCGTTACAAACAGCTTTTGTTCTACAGCATTTTAAAATATAACAGGTCAGATTTTTGGTCTGTCAGCCTTGACACTATCCGTTGAAAAGTAGGTCATGTCATTGAAATGTATTTAAAATGTGACTGTGGTAAAATTTTTTTTTTTTTTTTTTGAGACGGAGTCTTGCTCTGTCTCCCAGGCTGGAGTACAGTGGCGTGATCTCGGTTCACTGCAAGCTCCGCCTCTCGGGTTCACGCCATTCTCCTGCCTCAGCCTTCTGAGTAGCTGAGACAACAGGTGCCCGCCTCCATGCCCGGCTAATTTTTTTTTTTTTTTTTTTTTTTTAGTAGAGACGGGATTTCACCGTGTTAGCCAGGATGGTCTTGATCTCGTGACCTTGTGATCCGCCCGCCTCAGCCTCCCAAAGTGCTGGGATTACAGGCGTGAGCCATTGTGCCCGGCCGTGATAAAAGTTTTGAAGATTCTTTTTCTTGGAAAGAAGTTATTTAATAAACTCCCTTAGTGTTATTAGACACTAGCTACTAAAATAGCCTTTTTACTAACTAGAATTATAGCCCAGCTTGAGAGTGGCAGATGTGATAAAAATATACTAAAATTGTTTTTAAAAATTTTACTTTCAAGATTTTTAAAAAATTTATATTCAATCCTGTGGATTAAGTCATGTATTTTGCATAATCTAGCCAGGCTCTGAAGCAAATTTTAACTTTAGGGTATAAAAAGAACAAAAGAAAAATTTTACGCCCACTGCCTTATAACTACCAACATACTCATGTAGCCGTTTTCATTTTTAGGTATATTGAAAAGTCTGATTCAGTTACAATCAGTGTATGGAATCACAAGAAGATCCATAAGAAACAAGGTGCTGGATTTCTCCGTTGTGTTCATCTTTTTCCAGTGCCATCAACCACCTCAAAGACACTGGTTGTGAGTAGATACTACTGCTTTTCAAATTTTATATATATATGTGTGTGTGTGTGTGTGTGTGTATGTATGTGTGCATATACATATGTGTGTGTGTATATGTATGTGTGCATATACATATATACATGTAGTATATATGTATTCTCAAATATATATGAAGGATATATATATTTGAGTATGTTGGTAGGGGTTCAAACATAACTTCTTGTGTATGTCTGAAACATTGGTAAAAATTCCTGGTCTAAATTTATTTTGTAGACTTAAAAAAAATGAAACGTTTTAAATATGTGAAACTTACAGCTAAATGAGAGCTGATGCTTCATTTCCAGTTAATTTAAAAGTATTAAGAAATGATTGATATCTAGAATGGCAAAAAAAAAAGGTGTCAGGATTTACATACCTTTTAAAATTTCTTAGTACCCTTTTCTGGTTGTGGTGGATTTGTGGACAACATGTTTTTATTTAGGTGATTGGGGTCTTTAAGGTGGCAGTTAAAGAGCAATTACGAAGGGATAAGAATGGTATAATATATAAAACTGCTGTGACAAAATTAAAAGTTAAAGAAAGATTAAACATTATTTTGAGTGTATGACGGCTCTATGAACTACTTAACTGTAGCTCAGTTTATCATCAACCTGGGCGTTTAGAAGATTAGACCAAGATCAAGACATTAGAAGTGGTTTTCATAATGGATTTATAAGGTGACTTAGCATAACCAGGTGACGGTCTTTTGGGTGGGTCTTTCCATTGGAACATAAATGGGAATTCCTTTTTCAACAGGTTTTCTGTGTGTGTGTTTGTTTCTATAGAATTCTTGTGTATATAATGTAAAAAATACTGTTAGTCTTTGTAATGGGATTTTAGCCCAGATGCATATGCTAAACAAACTCACATAAGAGCTAAAGAAATTAATAAACAGAAAAGGAGTAAATTTAGCATTGAATGTTAAATATATTAAGAGATTGTCTCTTTTAATGTAGTATGATACCACAGCATAGGTATATATTGACCTTGTGAAAAAGAAAAAGGCAGAAAACTGAGCTAGAAGTTCTTAGTCCAAGGTATTTAAAGGCATCTGAGAAGTTCTTGTATTTCTGGGCTGACGGGGTAACCAACAGGAGAGAAAGGACAGTGGGATTGGAAAAAACAAGTTGCACATAAAAATGAACTGTTTTCTTACTCAGCAAACTGAAAAATTATAGGTCAAACGTCTGACATTATCCCTAGTTCAATTTAGCCAATGTTTATTGAAGACTTAATGTGCTACTGTTCTAAACCCTGGCTGTATAAAGGAGAAAGAGGCATGAACCCTGTCCTCTGAGAAGGAAGGGCAAAGGCCTGCTGGCAAAGGGAGCATGCCGCATGGGAAGGACTGAATAGGAGAGGAGTTGCTCTGCAGAATCCACTGTGTAGCCAACTTAGCAGCACCCATTTATTTTGCAAAGAGAAAAGTGTCTGTATTTTTGGTTGGATAACCAGGGACTGTAGTTTAGGGGCATGGATTTTTCTTTGTGTTTCTTGTGACTGTTTCATTGTATTAATTTATTTGACTTTTTTCATGTGCAGTAATATTGAATTTATCAAATATTTATTGAGCACCTACCTGATGCAATGTTCTACTGGGTTGGAGTGGAAAATACAAAGACTACGATATGGTCTCCTCCTTTTATCAATTCACAAATAAGTAGACAGATGGCATACGGTTGTAAAATTATTCAGCTGTAAGTACTGTAATCAAAGTAAAACCAGCATGCTTTGGGTGACATTGTTCCTTACTGTAACTTTCAGGGTCAGGCCAGTGTTATATCTCTTTTACAGATGAGGCATCTGAGAGAATAAATGAGTTGCTCCTGAATGAATTAGTGGCAGAACTGATGCAAACCCAGATTCTACAGTTTATTCTTGGCTTCTTATTAATACTTTTTTGTGTGCATGTCATTTGAAATGGTTAGTTAAAAAATAATAATGACAGCTAACATTTGTTGACCATTCATGTGCCAGGCACTATGCTGTGAGTTTTGCATAATTATCTGATTTAATCCTTAAAAAATATGAGGATTCACATATTGCCATATATGAGAAAACCAAGGCTCACGGATAAATTCCTTAAGACCAACAACTATTAAGACAGACTAAAGTGGTCTAAAAGTTTTGGAGAGAAAGTGACTGCATGTTGGCAATGAAGTACACCAGTGTTTCGTAGTTTTTGAAATCTGAATTCTTTAAATGATAGGTTTGATTTCTAATGGATTGTGGAAATTTATTGTCACTCTATAGACATGAGAATCTCTGATACCAGCTAATGTTTTCATTTCTTTCTTTGTTGATTTCAAATAGATCAGAGGTTGGATTTATGCAAACCTGGGCCAAAGGACAGTTAGAAGACGGTAAGTAAGTGTGAATTTAAAGTTACATGAATTTTGGTTTCATTCAAACTGACCTAAAGTCTAAATACCATTTAAATCAAAGTATGTTAACTGTAGCTTCATAGTGTTGGCCTGAATTAAATGAATCAGGTAAAATGTTACAGTGAATCCAGGATCCAGGTTAACTTAATTTTTAAAACTTTAATGTAAAAAAAAAGTGTCATGAAGAACTGTTGATCCTTTAGGAAATAATTTTTTCAAAGTATCCTAACATAGTAGAGCACTGAGTTCAGACTTTATAGATGTTATTAAAGTTTACTGAAAATAATTCTCAAACTAGTTTTTTTAGTAAGAAGACAACATTCTATTGAACTTGTTTTAATGTTTAATGCTTTACAGCTTTAAAATCTATGCCAATTGAAAAAAACAGAATGAGCAATGTTAGTGTAACACTGGAAAAAGGGAGAAATTGTTACCTTACTCATGAGGCACTTAGTAGCCTTATATGGTATTTAGGTGTCTTGAATTGACCTGGAGGGAAAGGCTTCACATAAAATTTGCTGAGACCTTTCTTAAGAATTGATAGAGATTTGATCAAGATGCATAGTATGGAAGGACACTGTTCATCTTGGAGGCTTCTTAAATTAAAGAAGAAAAATGTTGCCGGGCACAGTGGCTCATGCCTGTAATCCCAGCACTTTGGGAGGCTGAGGCAGGTGGATCACCTGAGGTCAGGAGTTCGAGACCAGCCTGGCAAGCATAGTGAAACCCCATCTCTACTAAAAATACAAAAAATTTGCTGGGAATAGTGATGAGTACCTGTAATCCCAGCTACTCTGGAGGCTGAGGCAGGAGAATCGCTTGAACCCAGGAGGCGGAGGTTGCAGTGAGCCGAGATCACACCATTGCACTCCAGCTGGGTGACAAGAGCAAGCCCCTGTCTCAAAAAAAAAAAAAAAAAAAAAGAAAAGAAAAAAGAAAAATCCAATAAGACTGTCACACTTCATGATGAAGCAGAACTTAGAATAAGACTATTTTGTTATGAACCCATCATAGAGGTTTTAATTACCGAAGGTACTTGAAGGACTTCATTTCACAAGGCAGTGAATTGGGTTCATGGAGAACTACCAGGGTAGCCACATAGCAAAGCCCTACTCTGGTTATCTTAGGGAAGTATCTACACCAGCACTCCCCGACCTTTTTGGCACCAGGCACCGGTTTCACGGAAGACAGTTTTTCCATAGACCAGGCTGGGGTGGAGTTGGTTTCAGGATGATTCAAATGCATTACATTTATTGTGCACTTTATTATTATTACATTGTAATATATAATGAACTAATTATACAACTCACCATAAGGTAGAATCAGTGGGAGCCCTGAGCTTGTTTTCCTGCAACTAGATGGTCCCATCTGTGGGTGATGGGAGACAGTGACAGATCATCAGGCATTAGATTCTCATAAGGAGCAGGCAACCTAGATCCCTTGTGTGTGTGGTTCACAGTAGGGTTTGTGCTCCTATGAGAATCTAATGTCACCACTGATCTGACAGGAGGCGGAGCTCAGGCGGTAATGCTTACTCACCCACTACTCACTCCTGCTGTGCGGCCTGGTTCCTAACAGACCCTGGACCAATACCCCATCCATCCATGGCCTGGGAGTTGGGGATCCCTTATCTACACTACAGCATTACTGATAATTCCTGTCATCCTTAGATTGAGAAGGAAGCAAAAACAAAAAAAATCTCAAAAATCAATTCAGTCATAACAGTACTTTCACATATAAGTGTTCCTTCTGTATTTGATTTATTATGTTACATAATGCTTGCCAACTACTGTCTAGTAGTAACAAAATAGTTTTACTAGATGTGAATTTGCATTTATATAAATAGCAGACTTTGTTAGACATTAGAAATATACCTACTGGAGGTCAGGTACGGTGGCTGACACCTGTAATCCCAGCACTTTGGGAGGCCAAAGTGGGTAGATCACCTGAGGTCGGGAGTTCAAGACCAGCTTGACCAACATGGAGAAACCCCATCTCTACTGAAAATACAAAATTAACTGGGCGTGGTGGCACATGCCTGTAATCCCAGCTACACAGGATGCTGAGGCAGAAGAATCACTTGAACCTGGGAGGCGGAGGTGGCGGTGAGCCGAGATCATGCCATTGCACTCCAGCCTGGGCAACAAGAGTGAAACTCCATCTCAGAAAAAAAAAAGAAAAAAAAGAAAAAAGAAATATACCTACTGGAGTATACTACATAGAAAACAAATGTTTTACTCTTAAATATGTGTATATGTGTATATATATGTATTTATTTAAAGCTCTTGTGTGAATCTGCTGTTCATAATAGGACCATTAATAAGAGAGAGGGAGGCTGGACTCAAACATTATGATTCTTTAGTTCTGTCATTCAAAAACAGAATGAGTTCCAGTTCTTTCAGAATTAGCCCTCTAACAAATAATTGTAAGTAGGTATATATACTTTTTGGAAAATGGAGAAAAGAACACTAGAGGACTAACTTTAAAAACTATATTCCCCTCTAGTGTCTTTATATACATAAATATGTATATAAAATGTATATATTTATGTCTTTAATTCCAGTGAAGATTAAATTTCTACTTTGCTTTCTTTCACTTACCATAATCGTTTTTAGTATTTATAATCTTTGTAATTAATGATATATATATATATATATATATATATATATATTTTTTTTTTTTTTTTTTTTTTTTTTTTTGAGACGGAGTTTCACTCTTGTTGCCCAGGCTGGAGTACAATGGTGCGATCTTGGCTCACTGCAACCTCCACCTCCCAGGTTCCAGAGATTCTCCTGCCTCAGCCTCTCAAGTAGATGGGATTAGAGGCATGCGCCCCGACGCCTGGCTAATTTTTTTTTGTATTTTTAGTAGAGACAAGGTTTCTCCATGTTGGTCAGGCTGGTCTCCAACTCCCGAACTCAGGTGATTTGCCCACCTCAGCCTCCCAAAGTGCTGGGATTACAGGTGTAAGCCACCATGTCCAGCCATATTTAATGATTTTTAAAGGATGAAGTATATAGATATATCACAACTTAATAATTAAAAATTTTTTTTGCTATTATAACATTGAAACTTGCAAACATTTTTGTACACTTTGCTTTTTTCTTTTTTAGAATCATTGCTGTATGAAAAAAAAATCTCCCAAGTTGAGATAATTGATTCAAGGAGTACAAACTTTTTTCCTTGTTTAAAACTGTGATGTCCCAGCTACATTGGGAGGCTGAGGTGGGAGGATCATTTGAGCACGGGAAATCTACTGTATTGGCATCGTTATCACTTGGATGTGTACTTTTTCTATGTATTTTTTTAAAAAATGAGATTATACTGAATTTTTAAAAACTGGTTTAAATTTATCATAAACATCTTTGTTTTTTTGGCCCATAAATACATTTCTATAGCATTGTTCCTTTTTTTTTCCTACTTTGCATTAAGGCTTGCAAAATCTATAGCATTTTTAATGTTGTGTGGTAGTCCATGGTGGGTATGTAATTCATTTAACCAGTTAATAGCTCTGCTATTAACACAGCATTCTGGAGATGTAAATTGAAGCCCATGAAATTCTTTAGTTTTGAATCTTACTATTATTCTAAACAAAGCTAACGAGAAAATACATTGTTTCTACTGTGATTGTATTTTGATAAGCATTTCACTTATTTTATCTATTTAAAAACTGATGGATATAGTTGTCTAGCACAGTTTTCATAATAATGTTTTGTTTACATTTGCTGAGTAGGTGTTTGTAGTGTTCTGTCCTCTAAATGGGACTTAATGTAAAGGAGCTCTATGTTGAACTGATCTTTCAAAATGTTCACAGAACTGGAAGATTTCAGAATTTTGAGACCCTTCTTTGAATGAAGGGTCATTAGATGTAATAATACTTTTTGTGCTAACCTATTATTTAAGAAGTTGGATTATAGTCAAGTTTGACTGTACTTCTTTCTGTCTTTTGGGAGAGTTACTAGAATTAGAATTAAACAATACTGGAGCAGCAAAGAAGGACTTCAGTGATATCAATTAAGCTAACTTTCTCATTATTCAGATGGGGATTATCTAAACCTTGCTTATTAAGTGTTTTGTTCAAGTTTACAGTGCTAAACTGGTTACTAGAGCTTGCTCTAGAATTCACATCTCTTGCTTCTTCATTTTTTGTGGTGGTTTTATATACTACACTGGATAATGGTGTCCTGTTAAAACTCATGGAATCCAAGGATTGCTCTCTTGCTGGAATACCAGGATGGCCCTCTTGCTCTAGAATACAGTGTATTTTTTTTCTTTTTTTGAGACGGAGTCTCGCTCTTTCACCAGGCCGGAGTGCAGTGGTGCAATTGCAGCTCACTGCAACCTCTGCCTCCCAGGTTCAGGTGATTCCCCTGCCTCAGCCTCCCCAGTAGCTTGGACTACAGGCACAGGCTACCATGCCTGGCTACTTTTTGTATTTTAGCAGAGATGGGGTTTCACCATGTTGGCCAGGATGGTCTCGATCTCCTGACCTTGTTATCCACCCACCTTGGCCTCCCAAAGTGCTGGGATTACAGGCGTGAGCCACCATGCCCGGCCCAGTGTATTTTTTAGATGGTGAGATTATCAAGTATTAAACTTAATGTGGACTTTTCAAACTCCTTTGTACATGAATATATTCTTAATATGTTATGCCTCTTCTTAAGTACAGTAGTGACTCTGCTATGCCCTGTTACTATGGTAAAGAAGGAATTAGGCTTCTTCCATGAACATGATGAAGTGTAGAAAACTTTAGAATTCTAATACTACTCCTAAAGGGAAAAATCTATGGGAAAAGAAATTATAAATTTTAGTAGAAACCAAAGAGGTCATTCTAAAGTATTAAAATAAGCTAAGCCAGATGTCTTCTAAAGATAGAAATTTTTGATTATAATAATTCTTTCTAGTTGTATGAATCTTAGTAATATTTCTATCATTTAATAGTAAGTCTTCAGTCCAGAGACCAAATTGGTACAGGAAGACAAGTTATGGACTGCAGTCATTTATTTGATAATGATTTACCAGACAAGTAAGGTAACATCACTGAAATCATTAGAGAATTATATAGATAATATCCTTAAATGGCTAGAAATAAATTGGTGTTTATTGTGTATTAAATGGTGTTTACTGTATATTGAATGTAGGTATTCCTTCTAATGGTAAAATTGATGGAAGATCCTGTCACAACAAATTTATAAAATAAGCCATAAATTAGGTGTGTTAAATTTGGTTATTAAGAGTTTTGACTAGGAGACAAATGAAATTTCTTGACAAATATAACTCTCTTGTAAATATTATCTAGTTAAAAAAAAGTTGGTGGATTATTCAAAACAGGCCATGCAAGTGCTAAATTAGAAACATTGCTGTATTTAAGAGGGATGTGATGGATAATTTGTGTAATAGTAATTAACATAACAGTAACATTTAATTGAGCATGTATATGTCAGATAATGTTATAAACACTTTACGTACATATCATTTAATTCTCATAGCATATTGGAAGGCAGTATATAGCCATGCTACTGAAATCAGACCACCTGAATTCTAAGCTTTACTCTTCTGTGTACTGGCTTTATGACCTTGATTTATTTAACTTCCATGGGCTTTGGTTTATATTTATTTACAAAACAGTATGAGTGATAATAGTACATACTCCATAAACTGTTGAGAGGATTAAATGAAATAATTCAGGTAAAGCACTTTAGTACAGTGTCTTTCATAAAATAAGTGCTTCATAAATAATTAGCTACTATTATTTCTATCGCTACTACTATTGTTACCCTCAAAAACTAAGAGTTACAGAAGTTAAGTAATTTGCCTAAGGCCACATAGTAAGTGGCAGAGCCAAAACACACAAACCTGTCTTGATTCTAAAGTCATGATTTTTATCATTGGTCTCTTTGATACTAGTTCTGACTCTTTTCTGATTTTATTTTTAACATTCAAAGTATTTTTAATTAATATCAATGAGATATAACTTACATGTAATAAATTGCATCCATTTAAGTGTATAAATGGTTAAATTTTAACTCCAATTATTTTTTATACAAAATTTTATACCCAGGTTATTATGATATTTACTCATTTTGTTTAAACTGTTAAAAATCACTATAATTGTTTTTAGATCACTTTAGCTTCCAGATATGTCTGTTAGCTCTTTTACAGATGTGAGGTAGATTATGGTATTTTTGAAAAGGAAATTTAGGGCCAGGCGCAGTGGCTCACGCCTGTAATCCCAGCACTTTGGGAGCCCAAGGTGGGCGGATCACGAGGTCAGGAGTTTGAGAACAGCCTGCGTGGTAAAACCCCGTCTCTACTTAAAAAAATACAAAAAATTAGCCGGGCATCGTGGCGCATGCCTGTAGTCCCAGCTACTCGGGAGGCTGAGGAAGGAGCATTGTTTGAAACCGGCAGGCAGAGGTTGCAGTGAGCCGAGATCGCGCCACTGCACTCCAGCCTGGGCGACAGAGCGAGACTCTGTCTCAGAAAAAAAAAAAAAAAAAAAGGAAATTTAGGATGAATTAACTAATCAATATTGAGAGAGTACCAGGAGTAATAAGACTTATTGTTCTAAACTTGCCATACATTACTGTACTGTAATTGTAATCATGGGGAAAAAAACCCTAGCAACTCTTTATTTTCCTTTTTTTTTAGAGCCCTTCAACCTCTGCCAATATCTTTGTAAAAATATTAAGATTATTACATTTCTATAGTGATTTGCCTCTTTTGCATTAAATGAATTATGATACAGAGTTGATAGAAAGTAGCGGCCTTGCCCGGGCATGGTGGCTCAGGCCTGTAATCCCAGCACTTTGGGAGGCTGAGGCGGGAGGATCACGAGGTTAAGAGATCAAGACCATCCTGGCCAACATGGTGAAACCCAGTCTCTAGTTAAAATACAAAAATTAGCCGGGTGTGGTGGCACGTGCCTGTAGTCCCAGCTACTTGGGAGGCTGAGGCAGGAGAATCACTTGAACCTGGGAGGCAGAGGTTGCAGTGAGCCGAGATGGCGCCACTGCACTCCAGCCTGGTGAAAGAGCGAGACTCCGTCTCAAAAAAAAAAAAAAGAAAAGAAGGTAACCATCTTGATTTTTTGTTTGTTTGTTTGTTTTTAGACGGAGTTTCACTCTTGTCGCCCAGGCTGGAGTGCAGTGGCGTGATCTTGGCTCACTGCAACCTCCGTCTCCCTGGTTTAAGCGATTCTCCAGCCTCAGCCTCTGGAATAGCTGGGATTACAGGCAAGTGCCACCACGCCCAGCTAATTTTTGTATTTTTAATAGAGACGGGGTTTCACCATGTTATCCAGGCTGGTCTCGAACTCCTGACCTCAGGGGATCTGCCTACAGTAGCACTCCAAGTACCCACCCAGCCCAGTTGCTGCAGATTCCTTCCCTATCTCCTCTGTCCTCCCCCCTTGCTCAATCCTGTGCTGTGCATCCTGCTCCGATCTCCTCCCAACCCCGCCGACCCCTGAAACGGGAAATACGAGGACACATCAGGTGGCAAAAATACTAGATTTACAAGAGGAAAGAGGTGCATTGTTCAAAATGGAGATTGCATTGTTGCAGTTTGCAGGCCACACTCGCTCACTGTCTCTCCCCCACCAACCAACCCCTTTTTCCTCTTCAAAAAATTTGTGCCAGTGCAGTGTCTGCACCGGGCAGGATTGAAACTTTGGCAAACATATCCATTGCATTCATTTTTCTCCCCTTGTTTTGGTGTGGTTTTCTGGAATGAAAGAAGCCTCTTGTTTTGCAAACCTCTTTGCATTTCTAATGAGGTTTCTTTCGGATTTTTATTGTATATCTGTTCCTTAAAAGAGAATTAAGGATTTGGATGGATTGTGGCACACAGACACACGGAAAAACTTGCCTGTTTTCACACCCCTGGCTGTGGTTTTTAAATTGTGTTAAGGAAACGGATCATTTGGGTTAGTAGGGGAACCTTACCTGGTCCTGTGTGTTTGTTTTTATTCTTCTAGTGCTGATGGGCCCGTGCAACAGTTGCTGGTAAATGGCTGATTAAAAAGCACAGAAAGCCGAACAAGACCCAACCAAATTTGGTAATTCATCCGATTCAAAATTGTTTTGGTTAAATCAAAAATACAAGTACACGACCGCAGGAAAGTGCGTCTTAACTCATTTGATCACTTTGTCTTGCTTGGGAAATGCAGTTTCGTGTCACCTGTTGCAGAAGATGTGTAGTTGATCATCTAGACATAATTGCCGAAGATGAACTTTTGGACAACTTCTGAGTCACACAGCATCAGTATCAGATTTCTTACACAATGACTTTCACTTTTCTCTCTATTTCTGAGGAAAAAGCCCTCCCGAAATCCGTAATGAATTTCTCCATGGTAACCCCTCTTCTGTTTTCACACAGAAAAGTTTCTCTAGGCTGGTGCTGAGATGCATTTTGTTAAACACAATCACCACCCCACCACGCGCCCCCCACCCCCCGCGCTCCCCAAGGCTGCTTTGTATTAAATACGTAGTTGCAATTTCCTAAATCGTGAAATTAAGCGAAGCAACAACCGGCAAGGCTTTTTCTTCATAGTTTTGCAAATCTATATTAATTAAATTAGAATCTGGTTTTAAAAGCATTTAAAAAACAAAGTTTATAAGGAAATCTTTGTGAGGAAAAAGGACCCTTTTTTCCTTGAAGTTAGGCATGTCATGTCTTTTTCAGAGAGACTAGGGTAGTAGAAGTGGTTAAATTGAAAAGTTTCTGTTTTTTAAATAAATGCTTAAATACTTATTGGAGAAGTAGGGTAGTATTATATTAAGCCAAATGTAAACCCATGTAGGTTGTCCTAACATAAACTGAAAAGAGGTAATTTCTTGTGCCCAGTGGTCAGAATCGTTGCCAGACTTGTCCGGGGGAGGCTGGCTGGAGAATGAAGGGAATGAATGAAGTGTCAGGTATTTATGTCTTATATGTAGAAAGGACTGCATGTAAATTCTTGGCAACTTAATTTTAGTCCTATTTTTGTTTTTTTTGAGACGGAGCCTTGCTGTCGCCTAGGTTGGCGTGCAATGGTGGGATCTTGGCTCACTGCAACCTCCACCTCCTGGGCTCAAGCGATTCTCCTGCCTCAGCCTCCTGAGCAACTGGGAGTACAGGTGCCCACCAGTACGCCTGGCTAATTTTTGTATTTTTAGTAGAGATGGGGTTTCACTGTGTTGGCCAGTCTGGTCTTGAACTCCTGACCTCAAGTGATCTGCCCGCCTCGGCCTCCCAAAGTGCTGGGATTACAGGCATGAGCCACTACGCCCGGCCCTTAGATGTGTCTTGTGCTTTGCATGCAAGTGTGTGTTAGTAATGGACTTCTTTTATAAAATAATTTTATTAATACTAGAAAAGCGTATATATATATATGTGTATATATATATATCTATAGTGTGTGTGTGTGTGTGTGTGTGTGTATATATATATATATATATATATATATATATTTTTTTTTTTTTTTTTTTGGACAGCCTCTCCTCTCAGGCTGGAGCGCAGTGGCACGATTCCAACTCATGGCAACCTCCACCTCCTGGGTCAAGTGATTCTCCTGCTTCAGCCTCCTGAGTAGCTGGGATTACGGGCACCTGCCACCACACCCAGCTAATTTCTGTATTTTTACAAAAATTTGGACTCTGCTTAGATTGGCTTAGTTTTCTCTTTAGTCAAATCTTCAGGAACCAATTTATTACCATTAAAAATGATCTAACAAGCTTTATTTTTATTATTGTTAAAAATCCTCATTTTGAGGAACACAACCACAAAGTAAAGAATGTTTTCATTGATTTAACCAGTAAAAATCAATATTTAATTATAAAATTTTTTTTTTCTTCAGCTAAAACAGCGGAAGAGGTGATTTATTATATGGTTGTTACACTCGGCCACAAATAAACACAGAAATAGTCCAGAATGTCACAGGTCCAGGGCAGAGGACCAACATGGGCATTTTGTTTATGAGCAAGGTGGGTCTCAGAGGTGATCGGCGATCAGAGGGCGATGAAGTTCTAGATCCATTGAGACAAGCTCTAGACAGTAGCATGCAGTCCCACAACTTGTACCAGCATCCCCAGCATCTGGCATTCCATGTTTCTGCTCCTGTGGCCTCCACAGTGCAACAAGCTAGCGGTTTACTTGGACCTCTACCTCATCTTTCTTCTTTTGCGCTTCAGCCTGCGCATTCGCTTCTTCCTCCACTTGGCTCTCATGGTGCAGGTTTCCAAGAAAATGGCGCTAAGGCCGAGAGTTAATAATAAAATATTTAAAACATGGCTCCAGGCCATCCAGATGCCTTAACTTGGGCTCAGGCTCCTGATACTGATGGGTCTTTTATCTTCCTCTGATGCCTTTTCTGTGAATTCACCTGTTTTGGAAGAAAACACAATTAAGGTTATCTATCACAACAACCACTATCTCCAATGTGTATTCATTCCTTTTATTCATTTTAAGTCTCATCTACCTGATGAGATAACTTTTTTGAAGACAGGCATTATATGCTGTTTAACAGTACTTTGATTCTTCCACAGTTCAGTCATCCTTGCTACCTTGCAGAGGACTGGTTCTAGGATATCGCCCCCACACCATACCAGAATCTGTGGATGCTCAATCCCTTAAATATAATGGTGCAGTGTTTGCATATAACCAACACCCCCGCCCCCATATACTTTATTTATTTACTTACTTAGAGACAGGATCACCCTCTGTCACTCAGGCTGGAGAACAGTGTCACAATCACAGCTCACTGCAGCCTCAACTTCCTGGGCTCCAGTGATCTGCCCACCTCAGCCTCTTGAGTAGCTGGGACTACAGGTGCATACCACCACACCTGGCTAATTTTTTTATTTTTATTTTTATTAAAGACAAGGTCTCACTATGCTGCCCAGGTTGGCCTCCCAAAGTGTTGGGATTACAAGTGTGAGTCACCGTGCCTGGTCCCATGTACTTGAAGTCATCACTAACAAAATGTATAGATATTGTATAATGGCAACAGTTGTTATACTGTACTTTCTATTTGTATTTTTATTTTTTCTTTCTTCAAATATTCAGCCTCATCTAGTTGAATCTGAAGATGTGGACCTGCTGATGAAGAGGGCTGATTGTATCTAACTTAGGGTCTTGCATGCAGCTGGCACTTAATGCATTTTATTGACTGTTTTAGCTAACATTCAATGGACAATTCCTAATAAAAAACTCCACTCCCAAAAGTATGAAAAAGTGCAAGATGTGCTTTGTTAAACAGATGCTTGAAGGCAGCATGCTCGTTAAAAGAGTCATCACCACTCCCTAATCTCAAGTACCCAGGGACACAAACACTGTGGAAGGCCACAGGGTCCTCTGTCTAGGAAAACCGAGACCTTTGTTCACATGTTTATCTGCTGACCTTCCCTCCACTGTTGTCCTATTACCCTGACAAATCCCCCTCTCCGAGAAACACCCAAGAATGATCAATAAATACTAAAAAAAAAAAAAAAAAAGTATGAAAAAAAGGAAACCTGCTCTAAAGTGGCAGGAAAACCAGCCTGGGCAACATAGCGAGATCTTGTCTCTACAACGAAAGTTTTAAAATTCACTGCCTGCCTGTAGTCCCAGCCACTCTGGAAGCTGAGGCAGGAGGATCCCTTAAGCCCAGGAGTTTGAGGTTACAGTGAGCTAGATCACACCATTGCTCTCCAGTCTGGGTGACAACAAGGCCCTGAGAAAGAAAAAACAAAGAAAGGAAAGGAAGGAAAGAGTGTAAGTATTGAAAAGGAAGAGACAAAACTGTCATTATTTGCATATAAAATAATAAATGTTAGCCAAAGAAGCCTAAGAGAATCAACTAAGATTTTACTGGAAGTAATATGAGAATTCAGTACGGTGGCTAGAAACAAAATCAAGAGAGCAGCACACAAACCTCAAATGCTTTTCAGATGTACCACCAATAACTAACTAGAAAATGGAAGAAAGATCCCATTTACAATGGCAATACAAATGTCTGAAGTATTTAGGAACAAAAATACAAAGATCTGTTATCTAACAAAAGACGTGTAAGATCTATATGATGGAAACCCTAAAACTCTTCTGAAAGACATTAACAAGAAATGAATACATGACATGAAATACCATGTTCTAGAATGTCGTACAGATGTCAATTCTCAAATTAATCTACAAATTTAAGGTAATCCTATTCAAATCCCAAGATAGTTTTTGGTGGTGGCTGTTTTTGAGACAAGGTCTCGCTCTGTTGCCCAGGCTAGAGTGCAGTGGTATGACCACAGCTCGCTGCATCCTCAACCTCCCAGGCTCAAGCAATCCTCCCACTTCAGCCTCTGAAGTCTCTTATATGGTGTCCAAGAAATGGGGACAAATCTCACAAAGGGACTAGGCTCAGGAGGGCTGGAATATTCAGGGAAGTTTCTTTTTTTTCTTTTTTCTTTTTTTTTTGAGGCAGAGTCTCACTCTGTCCCCCAGGCTGGAGTGCAGCAGCCCGATCTTGGCTCACTGCATGCTCCACCTCCCAGGTTCATGCCATTCTGCCTCAGCCTCACAAGTAGCTGGGACTACACACGCCCACCACCACACCCAGCTAATTTTTGTATTTTTAGTAGAGACGGGGTTTCACCATGTTGGGCAGGCTGGTCTCGAACTCCTGACTTCAGGTGATCCACCCACCTCAGCCTTCAGAAGTGCTGGAATTACAGGCATGAGCCACCGCTCCCGGCCGCCAGATTCTTATGTGGGACTCCCACTGTTTTAAAGTGCTTAGTAAAGGTGGTGAGTTTAAGACATTTGTATTGATGCTACCCAAACCTCTTGGTGGAGGGACCTAATGAGCCTGTTCTCCGGTGTGAGGGCAAAAGAAAAACAGACCCTCAGTGTGTCTTCCCTAAGTTAAGCATCAGCAAATTAATGAAGACAGAGAGGAGCATCTGCAGAAACTGCTGCTCTAATCCAGACACATCCTGAACACCTCCCTCTACCTCAAAATGAACTGTGTGAAACTAGATTTCTGAACCACAGGAAAGGTGGAAAGTATTTTCTAAAGTCAGATGTAGAGGAGAATCTTCACCTTGAGTCTAAAGTCCCCTTCAGGCCATTGAATATACCCACTCTGATTTGCTGGGTATGTTATACAGAGAAATCATAGAATTTTTGCACTTACGGTAGAAGAGTAGTCAGGAAAGTATATGGAATTAAAATAGAGCGACGTATTTTCTTTACAAAATTTTTTTTTGCACAATAGCTTAACATAAACACCATTTTGGCCAGGCATGGTGGCTCACGCCTGTAACCCCAGCACTTTGGGAGGCTAAGGTGGGCAGATCACCTGAGGTCACAGGAGTTCGAGACCAGCCTGGAGGGGAGGTTGGAGTGCAGTGGCACAATCTCGGCTCACTGCAACTTCCACCTCTGGAGTTCAAGCCATTCTCGACCCTCAGCCTCCCGATAGCTGGGATCACAGGCGCCTGCCACCACGACCTGCTAATTTTTGTATCGTTAGTAGAGACGGGGTTTCGGCATGTTGGCCAGGCTGGTCTCAAACTCCTGACCTCAAGTGATCCTCCCAAGGTGCTGGGATTATAGGCATGAGCCACTACGCCCAGCCCTACACTTTGGATTTAACTTTGATTCCTGCCCATATGCAGAGTTTCAAACTGCTTAAATGTCTGCAACATTTAGCTGCAAGGAAGAAAGCTTAACACAAAGTCCTCCAGGGAGCAAAAAACTGCATCACTACGCCCAGCTAATTTTTTTTGTATTTTCAGTAGGGATGGGGATTCACTATGTTGGCCAAGCTGGTGTTGAACTCCTGACCTCAGGTGATCCGCCCCCCTCAGCTCCTAAAGTTCTGGGATTACAGGCCTGAGCCACCTGCCCAGCAACAAGGCTAATTTGAGGGTCACTTGTTTGATGCCTTTTCTTGCCCATGCCATAGGTCAGAACTAGGACAAGCAGAGCAGGTCATATATAAGCTGTGTAAGTCTCTTGGCTGCTTTGTACCTTAGTTTCCCCATTTGAGAAAAACGAATGGATCTTAAGACACACTTTTCAGAGTTCATAATGGGCTTATACCCAGCTAACCAATAATTGTATGAGTTTTTATACAAAATAGTTGTTTACACGTATTCATCTTCTATTTCACTTACAAGTTGTGTAAAAACTGCATTCCGTGCCAGGCCTGAAATGTTCCAAGGCTCAGTTCTGTAATTAAATTGCAGCCCAGATTTCTACAAAAAAAGACATAAGCCAAAGGAAAAAAAAATTATTTCAGAACATTTATCATTTGCTGTGAGTCTAATTTACATAGGATGGAACATCACCTCAATCCTTTCTCTGTGCACTAAGGCAATCTCACTGTGGAAGATACTGGCTTATGATTTATACTTTAATATTGCACATGTGGTGCATTAGCTACAAAACAGTGAACGCTCAGTAAATACCTGTGTTAAGTGATCTTCATTTCTCTAGAACAGGATTTCACAACTTCAGTACCATCGACATTTTGGACTATATAACTCTTTGCCGTGGGGGTTTGTCTTACACTCTGCAGGATGTTTAGCAGCATCTCTGGCCTCTGCCCACCAGATGCCAGGAGCACAACCACAGTTTTGTCAAGCAAAACTGTCTCTGGACATTACCAAATGTCACCTGAGTACAAAATCACACCAGTTGAGAACCACTGCTCTCTGATGATTCACTATGATCTGTGTAATAATTCTCACACTAATCTTTGCTAGAGACAAAAAGGACTTGCTATATAATTTTAGTACCTTTCTACTGGTCAAATTTTAATCATATTTCAAAATGAATAGCAAAGAGGTTTATAATTAAGTTTTATAAAAATTCCAAATGTAATAAAGTTATATTTGTAACTTACGTATACTGCAAAAATGGTAGTGATTCAAATGTTTGTCTTTCAATATACCGTATTTTATTGCAGGATGAATCTCCAGGAAAAATAAAAGGAAAATATTGCCTTGATAAGTTATCAGTGTTGACTAGTATGAATAATAGCAAGAGTTTAGAATAATATTGAATACACATTTTTCATCTCGACTCTAAACATTTGGACCTGTAGTTGAACTTTCCAGAGCCCCTAACCCTGCCTGTACCTCTCCTAGAGTCTCGCCTTCATACTTTTAATAAATAAAATATACAACTTAATAGACTTTGGAATTAATTTCTCCTGAGAGCAGTAGACTTGATTAGATGCCCTTTTGTAGTCTCATCAAATCCTAGAGTATGAGCTCAAAGCTTTTATCTGTATATATAGTTACTAATATTAAAACGAATAGCCTCACATTTATACACCTTCCTAGTTGAGGTTTGTTTTCCTAAGCCAGTTCAGTATCAGAAGAAGTAAAAGACATCCTTTCAACAGCATTTGAAAGGAAGTTACCCCTTTACTTAATACATAACTTTGAACTAATATTCAAATCATATTAATACAATTAATTTCTATCATATTAATAGAAATTCATTTTTGGTTTTATATTGCTTTAATATTTCATGAAAGCAATTTCTTCAGTTATACAGAGATGGGGCTTTTCCCTCCCTCTTTACCTGGATGGTGTAACGTTGTCTGGCTGATGTCTCCATCTCTAGTCTCTCCCTTCCTAAACTATCCTCCACACAGTCATCATATAAACTCTCCAGAAGTGGCTTGCAAAGACCAGCACCTCCTGGGAAATTATTGAGGATGCAAATTCTTGGTCCCACTCTAGACCAACTGAATCCAATAACTATGAGGGCGGAGTCCAGAACTGAGTTCTAACGTGCCCTCTCAATGATTGTGATGCAGATCCATCTTACAGCACTGCTGTGATAACATGGTTCCCCATGATGGCTCCGCAGCTTGGCATTCAAAGCCCTAGAAGATCTGGCTCCAATTTCCTACTCTCCCTCCTTGTAATCTACAGGTACTCATGGCATTCCTCGAATACTTTCCTGTGTTTTGCCCTTCTCCCATTTCCCTTTTGCAAGTTTAGAATATTGTCCCCAAGATGTCTGTCCGATGCTACACAATGGCCCTTCAAAGTCCTATTCAAATGGGATTGTTCTAGTAACAGCTTCCTGGGTCCAAACTGAAGTCATTTTCCCCTCTTCTATGCTTCAGAAACAATTTATCCCTCCTAGTGCCCACATCCATTTCTTCTTATTAATGTAGTTATTTTTCATCCCATTTTTTCTGAGCATAAACTCCTTGAAAGCATGGACTAGGTCTTGCTCATCTGCATTGCCCACCATGTTTAAAACTGACACATGGAAATAGTAAATTCAAATATTTGTAAAACAAATGAATAGCTGGCCGGGCACGGTGGCTCATGCCTGTAATTCCAGCACTTTGGGAGGCTGAGGCGGGTGGATTACAAGATCAGGATATCGAGACCATCCTGGCTAACAAGGCGAAACCCCGTCTCTACTAAAAATACAATAAATTAGCTGGGCGTGGCGGCGTGTGCCTGTAGTTCCAGCTACTTGGGAGGCTGAGGCAGGAGAATGGAGTGAACCAGGGAGGCAGAGCTTGGGGTGAGCCGAAATCGCACCACAGCACTCCAGCCTGAGTGACAGAGCGAGACTCCATCTCAAAAATAAATAAATAAATAAATAAATAAATAAATAAATAAATAGCTGGGGGAGTGAGTAGAAGGAAAATGATTATTTTAAAGCAAATGTAGTTTTATTACTTCATGGCCTCTGCAGCACTTTGGCATCCACTTGAGGGTCTTTACACCCACTTTCCTTAAGCCTTTCACATTTGAAAGAATCTGTCTGCAAAAGAGCATCACTAATAAGGATTAATGACATACACACCTCTGCGGACAGAGGATAAGAATCAAGCTTTCATAGCAATTGAACATAGTATCTTCTTGTCTCTAAACAGACAGAAATACTATGCAGGTATCCCTTTCTTGGTAACAGGGCTGGGGAGATAGTTACTGTGTAATTAGTGAAGAGTTAGGGGCATTTCTGATATGCTTCTTACTGTAAACATTTCTAGCTCTACCACTTAACCATCATTTTAAACATCTGTTTTAATATAACAATTCCTGAAATGAAATCCTTAATACTAGTCTATTCTCTTGGTAGCTTAATATTCTTGATAATATTATTTCTATAATTCAGCTGATTTCAAATATTTAAATGTTAATTTAATTCCGATTAAATTACCAAAAAATTCTGGATTAATGATGTTCAAATGAATGTAGGTGGTCTATATTTTCTTCTCCTTTAGGCAACAATCTGACGTTAACTTTAATTCCTTTCATCCTACTAAACCAACTGTTTCAAATCTTTTTTTGTGAAGGTCAGACAGTAAATATTTTAAGGCTTTGTGGGCCACATATGATCTCTCTCACATATTTCTCTTTCTTTTTTCTTTCACAGTCCTTTAAAAATGCAAAAACCATTCTTAACTTAATGGGCTATTAAAAAATAGACCTTAGGTTAGATTTGATCTATTGGCTGTAGATTGAATAGAAGAAGATGGTATGTAAACCCTTAGAAAACAAGGTTCATATGGGTGTCAGTCACTGCTCAGATCTTCTTACCATGTGAAATTTTTTCTGTCAGTATTTTGTCTATACAATTTAAAAACTGAAAATGCATAGGACATAGCGAATGCTAGAGATGGGCTGAGACCCTATACAAACTTACAGAATTGCAGAATTTTATTGCTGGAAGAAATCTTAGAGATTATCTAATTTGAACCTCTTATTCATTTTAAAGATAATATGACTAAAAACTCAAAAATATGATTAACTAACTTACAAATACTGGAGGGATAGCAGGCCTTCAAATGAATCCTTAGGTAATTCAGTCAAATAATTTTCACTGAGAATTCTGGAAAATGAAAAAGTTATTTCTAGGTTAAAATGCAAACTACAACTATTTGCTACACAGGACTATCTCCTGCATGTGGAGGAAAGCTGGGTCATGGTCATTTCAAGATGGTGGGATCTGCTCTGCTTTCGTTCAAACCTTTTCTTCCATTTTCCTTTTCGTGTCCATCCCTCTCCACCACCACCACCACACACACAGGCAAGCACACACACACACGTGCAAGCACACACATATGCAAGCACACACACACATGCAAGCACACACACACAAGCACACACACACAGGCAAGCACGCACACACACTTGCAAGCACACACACACACGCACACACACAAGCAAGCACACACACACATGCAAGCACACACACACAAGTACACACACACAAGCACACACACACGTGCAAGCACACACACACAAGCACACTGCTCCACTCTTCCCACCAAATTGTATCTTTAATGACTCCTCTCTAGATCATAATATACCTTTCAGAATCCAACTCTGGGTGGCACCAAGATCAGCAGAACCTCCATTTCCTCCTCTCTTTTCCCAAACCTTATTACAAAAGCCCCACATGGGACCATGTCAGGGCTGCAAGTGAAGCCATTCGACTTTTGTCCCCCATCAAAAAAATTTGAGAACTACAATGTGCGTAAAGTGCACATAACATAAATGTTGTTTATCTTTAATTTAATTTAACTTAATTTAATTTAATTTCTGAGACAGGGTCTCATTCTGTTACCCACACTGGTCTCAGACTCCTGGCTCAAGTGATCCTCCTGTCTCTGCCTCCCGAAGTGTTGGGATTGCAGACATGAGCCACCTCACCTGGCCAAATATTCAGTTTAATAATTATAAAGCAGATACCCATGTAAACATTGTTACAAAAGATTATTGCTAGCATCCCAGAAGCCCCAGTGTGCCCCTTTCCAACCATATTCCTCTCTCTAACCCTAGTAGGTAACCACTACTCTGACTTTTGTAATGACTTTCTTGCTTTTAAAATGTAGTCCTGGCCTGGCGTGGTGGCTCATGCCTGTAATCCCATCATTCTGGAAAGCCAAGGCACATGAATCACCTGAAGTCATGAGTTTGAGACCAGCCTGTCCAACATGGCGAAACTCTGTCTCTACTAAAAATAGAAAAATTAGCTGGGCATGGTGGCGGGCACCTGTAATTCCAGCTACCCAGGAGGCTGAGGCAGGAGAATCCCTTGAACCCGGGAGGTGGAACTTGCAGTGAGCCAAGATCGCACCATTGAACTCCAGCCTGGGCAACAAGAACAAAATTCCATCTCAAAAAATAAATAAAGCAATTCTCCTGCCTCAGCTTCCCAAATAGATGGGATTATAGGCACCCACCACCATGCCTGGCTAATTTTTGTATTTTCAGTAGAGATGGGGTTTCGCCATATTGGCCAGGCTGGTCTCAAACTCCTGACCTCAGGTGATCCGCCTGCCTCGACCTCCCGAGGTGCTGGGGTTACAGCTGTGAGCCACCGCACCTAGTATGTGTTTGATTTTTAATTTAGAACTCATGTATGTCTTGTCTATATAAGTCAAACTAATGATGTGACAGAAACTGTTGTGAAAAATGTTACTTTGAATGTAAGCATTTTTCCAAAATCATTTATGTGTCTCAACTAATTCCTTCTATAAATCAGGAAGACAACGATAAAACAATTCAACAGGAAAATGAACAAAGGACAGAAAACTCAGAGGAGAAACACAAATGTTCAATAAACATATAAAGATATTTAATTAAATTCATGAGTGATCAGAAAAATTCAAATTTGGATGGAATCCCTTTTATTCATCCATAACTTCAACAAAAATTTGGTGAATACCCAACAGTGAAAAGGTGTGGGGAAATGAATGCTGTCACATTCTGCTGACAATACAGTCAGTTGGCACAACATTTTTGAGGACAATTAAAATTTTATATCTACATAGTCTTCACCCCAACTCTTCCATTTCTAGATATCTATGCTATAGGAATACTTGCCCACTAAGCATAAGCTCAACATTCATCAATGGGGAAATTATTAAATAAACTCTGATGCATCCATACTATGGATTATGCAGGAGTTTAAATGAATGGGGTGACCCTCTAAGTCCCAGGAAGGAAAGAAATTATGAAGTGAAAGAATATCATATAAGTGATACCATGAAGTGAAAGAATCAAGTTGCAAGATGTTACCCTTTATGAAAAGAAAAAAGATTTTAAAAACCACACAACAAATCTATTTTGCTTTATGTAAATATGTATGTAGGTAAATGGGGAAAAGTCTGGAAGCATGTATACTAAACACACAGTAGCATTACCTCAGGGACGAGAAAGTAGGGCAGAAGGAGGGTTTTTGTTATACCTGTTATTGCATTTTTATACATTAAAAATAGAATCATGGGCTGGGGGTGGTGGCTCATGCCTATAATATGAGCACTTTAGGAGGCCAAGGTGGGAGGATCACTTGAGCCCAGGAGCTCAAGACCAGCCTAAGCAGCATAGGAAGAACCCGTCTCTACAAAAAATACAAAATTAGGTGGATGTGGTGGCATGCACTTGTGTGTGGTCCCAGCTACTTGGGAGGCTGAGGTGGGAGGATCACTTGTGCCTGGGAGGTGAAGGCTGCAGTGAGATGTGATTATGCCACTGCACTCCAGCCCAGGGGACAAAGTAAGATCCTGTCTCTGAAAAAAAAAGAGAAAAAAAAGAATATAACCATGTATTATTTGTATGATAAAAAATAAATTTAAATTGCCTCTTAGAGAGAGCTTCCCAAATTTAATTTTAAAATAACCATAGGATTGCAATCCACAGAGGTTGATTTCGGGTATGGAGGGGAAATATCTTTTCTCAGAGGTATAGACCTCAAAATTCTGGACCAAGAAGGATCTTATAATGCAGTTAGTTTTTTGTCATATTTGGAGAGAATATACTCACAGTTTCTCGGTCCAACTGTATGCTTTCCATACATTTCCATCAATGTATGAAATATAGTTTCCTTGGAAATTTCTGTGAAGAAAGACAGTTTATATCCTTGAATAGGCAGGAAAAGAATGAACAGGATAAATAAAAGAATCATGGCAACCTTGTCGGGGATATTCGGAAACAGAAAATAACACCTGCTTTCTCATTTCCAGAGCTATCAGCTTCCCAGTTTGCACAATTCATCAAGAAATAATGCAGGGCCGCTGGCACAAATGATGAGGCATCTCCCGGAAGCTTAACTTCCTATCCATCCCATCTCTTGGACAGACGATGCCAGTTAATTACGTTGAATGTAAGTATTTTATCCAAAAGCACTTATGTGTCTAAACAAACTCCTACAAATCAACACAAAAATGGTAAATAATTCAACAGAAAAATGGGCATAAGCTTATCTTTATCGATAAATAAGTAGAAAGAAACCCTATGCCAGGTAACACCAAAGCTTTGCCCTCTGTTGAAACATCCTAGGCTTTTTCTTTCCACTCTTATTACAACTGATCTGATTTAGCCCCTTCACACTTTACTCCTACATTTTGCTAGACCTTTCTATTTTGTCTCCCTGAAATAAGCTTTTCCTTTTGGGCACTCTACATATGGATTCTAAAATAATCCTTTGCATGTCTATACTTGAACATAAAGCAAAAAAAACAAAATAAAATAAAATAATCTTCCTGTTTTAATCATTTAATCTCTCTTGCTTGGAAACTTTCAATGGCTTTCCATACCTCATTGTGTACTCTTTAAGACCCAAGTAAACTTTTAGCTTATCCATGTAGCTTTCCCTGATCTCCACACCTCAAGGACCACAGATTCTGGTAAATTCTAGCAACGATGGTATGCATTATCTTTCAGGAATTAATTATATACACCGCCCTTTTTATGCCTATTCTCTTTCTTCCCTCCTATCATCTTCATGTTCTGCGGACAATAGCATACTTTGTCCTGGGTTTGTCACAAAATGAGTGCTACATATAAAAAGCCAGGGACAAAGAGGAGTTCTGGACATAACTAAAGGACAGAGTAATCATGTTAACAGCCAACACTCCTACATATGCTAGGCACTGATGAAGTGTTTCATATATTCACTCACCCAAATTTCACAACAATCCTATGAAATGGTAACTAGCATAATCCCCAGTTTAAAAGGAGGAAATTGAGTCACAGAGCAGAATAACTTGCTCTGGATCACCAAGCTAATAAACAGACCTGGGTTCAAACCCAGGCAGCCTGGCTCCAGAATCAATTCTTAACCACTTAGAGCATCATCACTGAGATCGGGAGAGTGACAGGCTGCTGTAAAGAAGGTGAAGCGGGCCAGGCGCGGTGGCTCACGCCTGTAATCCTAGCACTTTGGGAGGCTAAGGTGGGTGGATCACCTGAGGTCAGGAGATCAACATGGAGAAACCCCGTCTCTACTAAAAATACAAAGAATGTTTTTTGTGTGTTGCCAGGTGTGGTGGCACATGCCTGTAATCCCAGCAACTCAGGAGGCTGAGGCAGGAGAATCACTTGAACCTGGGAGATGGAGGTTGCGGTGAGCCAAGACCGTGCCATTGCACTCCAGCCTGTGCAACAAGAGCAAAACTCTGTCTCAAAAAAAAAAAAAAAAAAAGAGGGTGAAGCGAAAATAGGAGCAGAGCAGCGGTTAAGCAATGATGTGATGGGGTAAATAAGAATGGATAAGAAAACGAGTAAGAGTAAAAGACTGGAGAAAAAGTAAAAGACTGGAGAATGGGTCTAACATTAAAGGAGAATGAGGAGAAGGGAGAATTGACAAGCAAAGGTGAAAGCAGAAAGTCAGTTGTCAGTATGGCTTGGGGAGATAAAGAAGGCCCTGGAAGGCCTCCAGGAAAAGGCTGCCATGTCAGGCAAGACACAGAGGATGATTGAGGAAAGGTGATTCTTACAAGGTGGTGAAGATGCCATTGTAGGTGTAGGGCTCTGGCACAGGCACTTGGCGGAGCCTCTGCTTTGGGCTGAGACCAACACATGACAGAGTCTCATCTCCGCAGGTGCAGAGCTCACATATGTTGGTGCCTGTGGAGGCCTTCTGTTCCTCTGGTGCAGTTTCAGACTGCACCAATGAATCCTGCGAAGATTCTAACTTTGTAGGTGGACCTGTGACTTCAGTCAGGCTTCGATGCAGAGTCTGAACCTGGTCTGGATGAGGAGCTCTAGTCTTCTCCAGGGCTGTGGAATGTCCAATCTCTGTAGTAGGTTCTGGAGTTATGGCAAGCCCCGGGTCTAGAGGCTGAGCTGAGGTTTCCTCCGTGGTTGGAGATGGTTTAACCTCTGTAGTAGGCTCTGTAGTTATGCTAAGCTCCAGGTCCAGAGGTTGAACTGTGGCTTCGGTCAGGTGTGAAAGCTGAGCCTGACCCTTGTCTGAAGGTGAACACCTCAGGGTGTTCTGGAGGAGGAGCTGTAGTCGTCAGGGCTGTAGAAGATTCAACCTCTGTTGTGGATTCTGGAGTGATGGTAAGCTCCAGATCCAAAGGTTGAACTGTGGCTTCAGTCAGGTGTGAATGCTGAGTCTGAAACTGGTCTGGATGTGGAAGTATCACCTTAAGGTGCTTTGGAGGAACTATAGTTCTCTTCAGGGGTGTAGAATGTTCAACCTCCATAGTGGGTTCTGGAGTGATGGTAAGTCCCAGGTCCAAAGGTTGAACTGTAATGCTGGGTGACATTGGATGCTGAGCTTGATCCTGACCTGGTGTTGGAATTTTTACCTCTTGATATAGTACAAGTTGTTGTAGAGCTTTCTTAGGAGGCTGAGTTGGGGTCTCCTGCATGGTTGGAGAAAGTTCAACCTCTGTCGTTGATTCTGGAATGATGGTAAGTCCCAGGTCCAAAGGTTGAACAGTGACACTGGGCAATGTTGAATTCTGAGCTGGATCCTGGCCTAGTGTTGGGACTGTCACCTCATAATGAGCTGGAGGTTGAGCTGCAACTTCCTTAGGTGGCTCTGGAAGCTGAACTGGGACCATTTGCTGCCTTGAAGATTCTACCTCCCTAGGGGACTCTGCAGCCTGAACTGTGGCCTCCTGCTGGGTCAGAGAAGGTTCTGCCTCCACAGGGGGCTCTGGAATCTGAGCTGGAACCTCCTGCTGAGTTACAGATGGTTCTACCTCCTGAGGGAACCCTGGAGGCAAAGATGGGGCCATCTGCTGGGTCAGAGAGGGTTCTATCACCATAGTGGGGTCTGAAGACTGAGCAGGGACTGCCTGCTGGACTGGAGAGGATTCTACCTCTTTAGGTGGCTCTAAAAGCCAAGTTGGGGCCTGCTGTAGACTGGAGATGGGTCAACCTTCTCAGGTGGCTCTGATGGCTGAGCTGGTGTCTCCCACTGTGGTGGAGGACTGACCGCTTCAGTGGACTTCCAAGGATGACCTGAGGCTTCCTGCTGGGTTGCAGATGGTTCAACCTCCTTAGGGGGCTCTGGTGGCTCAGCTGGGAACTCTTGCTGGACTGGAGAAGGTTCTGCCTCCTTAGGGGGATCTGGAGTCTGAGCTGTGGCCTCTTGGTGGACTGGAGATTCAATCTTCTCAGGAGAATGCAGAGGTGGGGAAGGGAGATCAGGCTGGGTTAAAGAAAAGTCAGCCTGCTCAGTGGGAATAGAAGGGTTGTCCTGCTGGACTGGAGAAGGTTCTACCCACATAGTGACTGCTGTAGGTTTGGTAAGCTCCCTATCTAGATCTAGATATGACACATCTGGAGGTGAACCTATTGCTTCATCATCCATTGAACTTACAAAGTCTGAGGAGAGCTGAGTTGGAGGCTGAGTTGTAGGCTCTTTATGGACTGGAGGAGGTTCATAATTTTCAGGTCTATTTAGCTGCTGAATTATAATGTCTTGCTGGTCTTTCAAATGTTGAAACTGCTCAGGGGACATTAAGGGCTGAGCTGGGGCCTCCTGCTGGATTGGAGAAGACTCACCCTCCTCAGCGGTCTGTGGATGCTCAGCTGCAGCCTCCTGCTGGGTTGGAGTGGTGTTCTCTTTATTAATAGGTTCTGGAGATTGAACTGAAGTTTCCTGTTGAATTTGTAAATGTCCAGCCTCTTCTGATGACTCTGGAGGCAGAGGTGGGCACCCGTGCTGGATGGCGGGAGGTTCTACATTACCTGGACCTGAGAGCTGAGCTGTAGCCTCCTGGTGGACTGGAGAAGTTTCCACCTCTGCACTAGGCTCTGTTGCTATAGTGAGCTGCACGTCTGGAGGCTTAACAGAGACATTGGGAAAATCTGAATGCTGAGTTTCATGGTAACCTGAAGGTGAAACTGGGACTTCATGATGTTCTGGGGGCTGAGCTGGGGTCTCCTGCTGGGTTGGAGAAGATTCAACCTCCCCAGAAGACTCAGAAGGCTGAGCTAGCTGCTCCTGCTCACTGGGGGAAAGTTCAGGCTCTATAGGAGGACGTGGAGGCTCAGTTGGGGCCTCCTCTTGGAATGCAGATGGTTCCATCTCTTCTGGAGGCTGAGCTGGGGTCTCGTGCTGGGCTGGAGAAGATTCAACCTCTCCAGAAGACTCAGAAGGCTGAGCTGGCTGCTCCTGTTCACTGGGGGAAAGTTCAGGCTCCATAGGAGGACCTGGAGGCTCAGTTGGGGCCTCCTGTTGGGTTGCAGAAGGTGCCACCTCCTCTGGAGGCTGAATTGGGGCCTCCTGCTGGGCTTGGGAAGATTCTGTCTCATTTTTGGGCTCTGAAGTCATGGTAACTTCCACATCTGCAGGTTTGACTGTAACGTTGGGAAAGTTGTAATGAGCAACCTGGAGGTTGAACTGTCACTTCATGATTCAGTGGAGTTTGAGCTAGACTCTCCATAGAGGACTCTGGAGGCAGAGCTGGGGCCTCCTGCTGGGTTGAAGGTTCTACCTCCTGAGGGAGCAGTGGAAGCTGTGCTGGGGTTTCTTCCTGGAGTGAAGAGGACTGGATGTCTTCAAGGGTCTCTGGATTTTGAGTTTCAGGCTCTAGATGGAATTGAGAAAGTCCAACTTGCTCAGGAGGCCCTGGAGGCTCATCTGCATTCACCCGGAGTTCTGGAGGCAGGCTGCCGGAATACAGTGTGTCCATACTCAAATATTCATCTGCAAAGTCTGTTTCTGACGCTGAGGTTTGTATAATTGGTGTGGAATCCCGACAATCTTAGCAAGGCTCCAACGCTCAGCTAGATCTTTCTTCAAGTTCTTTGGAAAAACAACAAATTTGGTTGGTTTTGAAACCTTACTGTCTAGCGGAACAAGTATTTCATCTGCCTGATGACCTGCAGCCCGATCTAGATCTGCAGTTTGAAACTTACTTTTGAGGCGAGGAAGCTGAACTAGGGTCTGGTTCTGATCCCTGTCCAGCAGTGGAACCACCTCTGGGAGCCTTTCTTGTGGAGTCCGCTTGTCATTTAAATCCTGATGTGCAGCCAAGAACTGCTCTGGCCCCAGGGGCAGCTCTCCACCTGAATCCGTATCCAGGAATGGAACCAAATTTTCATTTGATTCCTGGGGCAGGGCTGACACCTGTGAGGAAGCAGAGGGCCCCAGGTAATCAAAGTCCCCTGGGGCTGCTGGGGGAGCAGGTGCATGAGGAGATTCCCATGGGAGATGGGAGGAGCGGGAAGACCAGGGCTCAGGTGACCCCAGGGGTTAGAGGTCAGCTGGAGCGGGTCCTTGACCAACACCAGATGTGGAGCCTCCTTGACTAGTAGACACAATAATTGCCACTAGGAGACACAATAGCTGCCACGTAAGGAGGGGCCACGGGCCCCAGAAACGCAGCCAGGACATGACACATGCTAGTGCCGTGCACTGATTGGGAGCCATTCTGGCAGCCCTGAGATGCTCATGCCCCTTATAAGCGTGCGCCCCGCCCTGTCTTTATGACACCTTTATTTATGCCACATTTATTTGGCTCGGGTCCAGATCTGCTCCATTTTACCATGGCAATCTTATGTCACAATCTCGCTCAAGTGATCCTCCCACCTCAGCCTCCTGAGTAGCTGGGACTACAGGATGTGCCACCACACCCAGCTGATTTTTGTGTTTTTTGTAGAGACAGAGTCTCCCTATGATGTCCAGGCTGGTCTCAAACTCCTGGGCTCAAGTGATCCTCCCACCTCAGAGTCCCAAATTGCTGGGATTACAGGGATTAGCCACCATGCCCAGCCAATCCAGCCATCTTGCAGCCAATCCTCCAGCCCCAATTAAGCCTTCAGATGACTACAGCCCCAGTTAGTATCTTGACTACAAACTCATGACAGATCCTAAGCTAGAACCACTCTTCTAAGCTGCTCCTGAATTCCTAACCCATATACAGTGTGTGAGATCATAAACACTTATTGTTGTTTTAGGCCTCAAATTTTGGAGCAATTTATTATGCAGCAATAGGTGACTAAAACACACAATAAAATTGCTGTCATTACTATTATAAAGTACTTCCTGATTTTGAGCTGAAATCCACTTTCTTGTAATCACCACCCTCTCTTCCAGTTCCGTCTTTTTGGGCCACCTAGAAAAAATACAATCTCTCTTCCTCATGGTCAAAATGTTTGGTGCCAGTTTTCATGCCAACAATTTAATTCATCAGACATTTGAAGAGTGATCACTGTACCAGGCAGTAGGCATGCAAAGATAAGTAGGACGAGGTCCCTGCCTAGCCATACACTCAAAACATTCTTCCACAGGAGGTGTGCTGTAATGAAGGGACCTGACTCCCAGTGCAGGAGAAGGAGGTCCAAATGCAGGTGTGGCTGGTTCTGCTTACAGAGGTGAGGGAAGGCTTCTCAGAACAGGTGGCAGGCGCTGAGGCCTAAGGGATGAATAGGCCTTCTCCAGGATGACAGGAGGGGAAGGACTAACAAGCAGAAGCTGCAGGCAGAAGACCACCCTGACACTAACCACTTTCTTCCGCAGGGTACACATCTCCTCTCCTCTTGTCCAACTTTTGAGTCCTCTCCCAACCCCTCCCAATCTTGGTAACTCCACTCAGAACACACCCTTTCCTGTCACATGATGGCATCTAGAGGGAGCCAGCCCTCCTCCAGGGTGGTCCGGCCAGTGTGGAGTGGAGTTGGCCGTCACCTTTCTTTTTCTGGAAGCTCTGCTTGGTCCAGACTTGTCTGAGGTTTTTTGGCCTCCACATCCTTCAGCTGACTCATGCTGGGCCTGCAGGCATCTGGACTGCAAAGTCATTTTTCACACGTGCTCCTGGGAAACCACATCTCTTCGTACTTTGTACTTCTGCTGTTGTTTTGTTTTCACAATTTTTCATGGGTGTTTTGAAGTTCAATAATTTGATCTATGCAAACTGCTCATCTCAGCTCCTGGTTGGCAGGGGCCTTGTGGAAGCAAATTGAGCCACCAAAAGAATCCAATTTAGAACACGCCCTGGAAACAGAAACCGTCTGTCATTCTAAGGCCATTGTGGTTGGGAGTGATTCAGACTCATTGCAGCTCCTTCCAGCCTTCAAAGATCTCACCGGATAAGAGCCTGGCTTGGATTTGAAGACACCTTCTATGAAGGAAAGGCTTTGGCAGGGGGTGAGGGGGGTGGGCTGTGATACTTTGTAGGAGCTGAGCACAGACGGAAGGAAATTGGAAGGGGATGTTTGTCTGGCTCCCACCTTCCCCCGTCAGGGAGAATCAGGCCATTGTCTAGGTAGAACTCTTGGCTTGTTTATCTTCTCAGACCCAGCTTAGAACAAGGTTTCACTCAGTTTTCTTTCCACCCAAAAAATGACCACAGGAAAGAGTGACTTGCGTTTGCTAAGTGTCCAGTCCGTACTCTCCGTTCCCATTTCTCTGCCTCTTTCTCCCATTATCGGCTTCTAACAGAAAATAAGAAGAGCAAGCTTCCCTTTGGTCCCATCAAAGATAACATGTAGACATTCATTCATGCGTTCATTCCTTTAACTAGCATTTATTGGGTTCCTACTATGTTCCCAGCATTGTTATTGGTACTGGTGACCCTAGTATAAAAGACACAATCCCTGCTGTCAAGAGGTCACAGTTCTGGAAGGAACCCAGCGGTACTGGCAGCAGCGCTAGTGGGGAATGGGAGCACATAGAAGAGGCATTTGACTCAGCTTTGGAAAGAATTGGAAAAGGCTTTAAAGTAGAGTAAAAGTTTGCCAGAAAGAATAATCATTATTACAGCTTTTTTAAAGCGTCTTCTACATGCCAAGCACTGTGCTAAAATCTCCCTATATATATTGTTTTATTTTAATCCTCACAACTCTAAGAGGTCACTACTGTAATTATTCCAACTTCACAAATGAAGAAAGTGAGATTTAGCAAGGTCGCCTTGGTGGGGCATGGCTGCTCACACCTATAATCCCAGGATTTGGGAAGCCGAGGCAGGAGGATCACTTGAGTTTAGGGGTTTGAGGCCAGCTTGGGCAACATAGTGAGTCCTCTGTCTCTACAAAAAGAAAAAAAAATAGCTGGATATGGTAGCATGCACTTGTGGACCTAGCTACTTGGGAGGCTGAGGTGGGAGGATGGCTTGAGCCCGGGAGGTTGAGGCTGCAGTGAGCTGTGATCATGCCATTACACTCTAGTCTGGGTGACAGAGCGAGACCCTGTCTCAAATAAATAAATAAATAGGCTGGGCACGTGACTCAGGCCTGTAATCCCAGCACTTTGGGAGGCCAAGGCAGGTGTATCGCTTGAGGTCAGGCATTCAAGACCATCCTGACCAAAATGGTGAAACCCCATCTCTACTAAAAATACAAAAATTAGCTGGGCATGGTGGCACATGCCTGTAGTCCCAGATACTCAGGAGGCTGAAGAAGGAGAGTCACTTGAACCCAGGAGGCAGAGGTTGCACTAAGCCAAGCTCGCATCACTGCACTCCAGCCTGGGTGACAGAGTGACACACTGTCTCAAAAAAATACTAATAATAAATAAATAAATAAATAAAGTCAACCTGCTCACCTCTTCACTAAGAATGAATAGCAGAAATGAGAAATAGATGCAGCTTTTCCTGACTGTGTAGCCCATTCTCTTACCCAAGGCTGCTATTTACAGTCGTGCAGGTTGTACATTGCACAATTCCAATGCTGGCCCTGCACTCAATAAGCCATTATAGATGGGAAGGGTATCCAGGCAGAAGGGGCCTACTTTGCAGAAATATGAAAAAGCAACCTATATTCAGGGAACTGACCCCATACAGCCATGTCAGAGGCTACAGAACTCCTTGAAGATGGGCAGCTCCTCTGCACCTCCAGTGATTGTTTACAGAACTGACCGATAGTGTCTTGGGAGAGCTCCTGGGGTTTTGCATTTGTTTTTTGTTTGTTTGTGTTTGTTTTGCTTTTGAGACAGGGTCTTGCTCTGTCACCCAGGCTAGAGGGCAGTGGTGCAATGACGGCTCACTGCAACCTTGGCCTCCCAGGCTCAAGCTATTCTCCCACCTCAGCCTCCAGAGTAACTGGGACTACAGGCATGTACCACCACACTCAGCTAATTTTTATTTTTATTTTTGTAGAAATGGGGGGGGGGTCTCACTATGTTGCCCAGGCTAGTCTGTAACTCCTGGCTTTAAGCGACCCTGCTGTCATGGCCTCCCAAAGTGCTGGGATTACAGGCATAGCCACCGTGCCAGGCCAGGCTTTGCATTTGGTGTAGAGACCCAATCCTTCCTTCTTACAGAGCTATGGAGCTCTCAGCAGGATGTGCATACTTCTGAACTGTTGACCATGCAAACATTCAAGCACAGAGGATGCAGGAGGTCCTGAGTCTCCAAACTGCTCAGTGTCCTATGAATGGCCAATCAGTTTCTCATGCATAGGCACCAAACATAACCTGCCAAACAAGCCAGTTCAATATCTAAGCCACCCCAACTTCTTTGCAGAAGTCGTTTCAGTAGCAAAGAATGGTCTGAGAAAAATAGGCACAACCAGGGTGAATGCCTACAACACTCCAGGTGCTCAGCAAACGTGATCTCTTCCACTCTCACAGCTTTATGAGACATCATCTTTCATTTTGCTGATGAGGAAACTGAGGTTCAGGGATCAGGTAACTTACCTAGGTTACGTGTGCAACAAGCAGCCACGATTCTCACCAGAATCTTTCTAGTGGCACAGCCTCTATGCTTCTATCCTAATGTTGGCTTTCAAAAGGTACCCGGAAAAGGGCAGGAAACAGCTTACATGGCTCCTAAAATGCCTGACAGCATGTATGTGGCAGAGTCTCTCTCTACTTTTTTTTTTTTTTTTTTTTGAGACGGAGTCTCACTCTGTCGCCCAGGCTGGAGTGCAGTGGCACAATCTTGGCTCACTGCACATTCCACCTCCCGGGTTCATGCCATTCTCCTGCCTCAGCCTCCCGAGTAGCTGGGACTACAGGCATCCGCCACCACGCCCAGCTAATTTTTTGTATTTTTAGGAGAGACGGGGTTTCACCGTGTTAGCCAGGATGGTCTCAATCTCCTGACCTCGTGATCTGCCCGCCTCGGCCTCCTAAAGTGCTGGGATTATAGGCGTGAGCCACCGCACCCAGCCCTCTACTAAGGTACCCAGAAAAGGGCAGGAAACAGCTTATATGGTTCCTAAAGTGCCTGAGAGCATGTATGTGGCAGAATCTCTCTCTATTTTTAATTTTATGTATTTTTCTAGAACCTATGTCATCAATCTCAGAGCTCAGAGACCCCTCCTCAGGTGGAGAGGCTGCTTCCAGACATCATTCCACCACAGCCTTTTCTCACTGTGCAATAGTTTGGTGTTGACAGAGTAGAATAAATTATTAAATGCTTTTCTGGAATTGATTTGACTCCAAGGGTCTTTGTGTTAAAATAATTTCCTATATCAAATAGGGTTCTTGGTTGTGCCTGACTCTGACTAACTTAAGGGGGGTAGGGAGTGGAACTTATTGGAAAGATACAGAGCGAGAAAGAGTCTTTTTAAAAAAATGCTGTAATAATAGGGACGAGAACCAGGGTAGCTCTGGGGAAGGAAGTCACAGAAGTTAAAGGTTGGTTCTTCAGGATGTCATTATCAGGATGTTTCAGCTCTGACTCCTTTCTGCCCTTATTCACACACCCAGCTAGAGTTCGAGTTACCCGCCATACCATGGCACACAGAGAACAAGACATCATGCCTGACAATTCCCCTAAAGCTTCAAGCAAAAAGTAAGGGGCAATCTCTAAAGCAAAATCAAGGTAATGCTACATGGAGAAAGGGAAATAGATCTGGCACTCTGACAGCATTTGTTTTTGCTTGACCAGGTTCTACTGAGGCAGGTAATACAAGCTGGGCATGTGAATAAGGGCAGAAAAAAGCAGGAGCTGATATAACCTGAGAGCAGTCTTTCTCCAAGAATGTTCAACTAAATTATTTCTTTTCTTTCTTCTTCTTCTTCTTTTTTTTTTTGTTTTTGAGACAGAGTCTTGCTCTGTCACCCAGGCTGGATTGTAATGGCATGATCTTAGCTCACTGCAACCTCTGCCTCCCAGGTTCAAGCAATTCTCCTGCCTCAGCCTCTCAAGTAGCTGGGATTACAGGCATGTGCCACCACATCCACCTAAGTTTTGTATTTTAGTAGTGACGGGGTTTTACTATGTTGGCCAGGCTAGTCTCGAACTCCTGGCCTGAAGTGATCCACCCATCTCAGCCTCCCAAAGTGCTGGAATTATAGGCATGAGCCACCAAGCCAGGCCCAGGCTAAATTATTTCAATTTAATGTACTGGAGGTTTGAAAATTAATACTTAAAAAGAAACTTGTCTAATGTTTCAGAGTTTCAGTTTGGAACGATAAAAACGTTCTGGAGATGGATGGTGGTGATGGTTACACAACAATGTGAGTGTACTTAATGTCACTGAACCACACATTTAAAAATGGTTAATATGGTAAATTTTATGTTATGTATATTTTACCACAATTTGAAAAATCACAACAACCTTAAGAAAGAGAGAAAGTTACTAAATGATATGTGGTATCCTGGAAAAGAATACAATCTATAGTTTAGTTAATATCATTGTACCAATGTTAATGTCTTAATTTTGATAAATGTGTCATAGCTATATAAGATTTTTAACATTAGGGCAAACTGGGTTCAAAGTATAAGGGGGTCAGGCATGGTGGCTCATGCCTGTAATCTCAGCACTTTGGGAGGCTGAGGTGGGCAGATCATTTGAGATCAGGAGTTCGAGACCAGCCTGGCCAACATGGTGAAGCCCCGTTTCTACTAAAAATTCAAAAATTAGCTGGGCATGGTGGTACACGCCTGTAATCCCAGCTACTCGGAGGCTGAGGCAGGAGGATCACTTGAACCTGGAAGGCAGAGGTTGCAGTGAGCAGAGATTGTGCCACCAGACTCCAGCCTGAGGAACACAGCAAGACTCTGTCTCAGAAAAAAGAAAAAAAAGAAAACAAAAAAAGGCTGGGCATGGTGGCTCATGCCTGTAATCCCAGCACTTTGGGAGGCCAAGGTGGATGGATTGCTTGAGGTCAGGAGTTCAAAACCAGCCTGGGGAACATGGTAAAACCCCATCTCTGCTAAAATACAAAAATTAGCTGTGTGCAGTGGTACGTGCCTGTAATCCCAGCTACTCAGGAGGCTGAGGCAGGAGAATCACTTGAACCCAGGAGGCAGAAGTTGCAGTGAGCAGAGATTGCGCCATTGCACCATCCTGGGCAACAGAGTGAGACTCCTCCTCAAAAAAAAAAAAAAAAAAGAAAGAAAAGAAAAGAAAAGTAAAAGAAAGAAAACAGTATATGGGGCTGAGTGTGGTGGCTCATGCCTGTAATCCTAGCATTTTGGGAGGCCAAGACAGGAGGATCGCTTGAGGCCAGGAGTTTGAGAGCAGCCAGGGCAACATAGTGAGATCTCATCTCTACAGAAAAGTTTAAAAATCGGCTGGGCATGTGGCGCTTGCCTGTAGTCCCAGCTACTCACTAGGCTGAGGTGGGAGCATGGCTTGAGCCCAGGAGTTCAAGGTTGCAATGAGCCACGATCGGGCCACTGCACTCCAGCTTCACAACTGAATGAATATATGGGACTCTTTACTATCATGCAACTTTTCTGTTAATCTAAAATTATTTCAAAATAAAAAGTTTATTTTAATAAGGAAACTACATTATAAACATTTTAATAAATAACTTTTATAAATGACGTTCAATTCGTGAGGGTTTTCAACATGTAAACTAATTTTGTGGAAGACGTCCACATTGTTCCATAAAATGAATAAGAAATGTTCTTACCAGCCGGGCGCCGTGGCTCACGCCTGTGATCCCAACACTTTGGGAGGCCGAGGTGGGTGGATCACGAGGTCAAGAGATGGAGACCATCCTGGCCAACATGGTGAAACCTCTTCTCTACTAAAAATACAAAAATTAGCTGAGCATGGTGGCCGTGCCTGTAGTCCCAGCTACTGGGGAGGCTGAGGCAGGGGAATTGCTTGAACCCAGGAGACAGAGGTTGCAGTGAGCCGAGATCGTGCCACTGCACTCCAGCCTGGCAACGGAGCGAGACTCCGTCTCAAAAACAAAAACAAACAAAACGAAACAAAACAAAATGTTCTTACCTATTAGAAATTCCACAGTATGATGATGTTCTCATCTGAGTCTTCAGTTCCCTCTGCCTTGATAGTACAGTCAATAGAATGTTCCTTCTCAGAATCCAAGCCACATAGACTCAGAACTGATGGAATTAAAACTGTACAAATCCAGGACAATCACACACCACATACCTCTCCAGGTGATGCAACACGAGGCACACCATGTCACTTCTAAGGTAATCATCCCCAAAATGTTTAACTTGAATCTTATTAAGGCTTTAGGTTCCATTTTGGGGGGAATACAGGAGATCAACGAAGAAGTTTTGTGACACCATGAGGAGAGAAGTCTGCAAGCTCAGAGTCTGGGGCAGACCGGAAGACAACTGGTGTGGTCTCTGGAAACAAGTCTAAGTTGTATTCTTTAGAGAAGTTTGGCCATGAAGGGAGCAGAAAAATGAGGAAGTAGGAGCTAAGAGGAGTCATGGGTGGGCTTTTTTCTGTTCTTAATTTCCAGTCTTTCATCAGCAGGGGATCAGTAAGATCCTGAGCCTGAGCCAGGCATGGATGAGGGAAATGTCCCTGTCTTCTTTCCCTGTTCTTGTTCTGTGTCATTTGTTGCTTCTTCTGTGCATTATATGGTCATGTTCGATATTAGAACATTTCCTTCTTATATCAGGGGTTCTAATTTAATCTGCAGAGCATTTTGTCCGGCTGGCTGTGTGCTCCATAAATACTGAATAAAAGAATCGAAAAAGTCAAAGTTGTGAATGAAGTGGAGATGAACGGAGCATTAAGAGTCAGGCTGGCACTACTAAGGTGAGGTGAGTGAGGCACTTAAGTGCAAAATTTAAGAGAATGCCCAAAAACTCATTGATCAAGAGCAATACAATTTTAATGCAATATTTTCAAAATCAAAATTAATATAAAAACCCATGGTGAACAAAATATCAGAAGTTTAAAGAGCCTACATTTGTACAACCCTGCCTCATTCATCTCATGCTAATCCCAGCCCCGTAAAACTTTTCCTGCAAAAACATGCAGCTGGCCTACAGGCATAGGTAGCTCATTTGACTTTTTGAAATATTGCATTACAATATTATTACTCTTGATTACTGAGTTTTCTGGGGCCTTTTTAACTCATCTCATCCTAGCCCTGACATTGCTTAAGTTCTGTATATGACTCAAAGAAACAATAGCCATAAAAGACATTTTGGGGATAAAAGGAAGAAATGGTATAAGACAACATTGGGGAATACTGTTAACATTTAGGTGATAATGACATTGTGATTGTGTAGAAGACGTCCTTGCTTTTTTGGAGATGATGTCAGCAAAACTTATAGATGATATGTAAATGAAACAAACTGGCTGGGGGTGATGGCTCCCGCCTGTAATCCCAGCAATTTGGGAGGCTGAGGTGGGTGGATCACTTGAGGCCATGAGTTCGAGAACAGCCTGGCCAACATGGAGAAACCCTGTTTGCACTAAAAAAAAAAAATACAAAAATTAGCCCGGCATGATGGCGCACACCTGTAATCCCAGCTACTCGGGAGGTTTGAGGCATGAGAATTGCTTTAACCCAGGAGGCAGAGGTTGCAGTGAGCCGAGATTGTGCCACTGCAGTTCAGCCTGGGTGAAAATGTGACTTTGTCTCAAAAGGAAACAAACAGGTAAAATTTTAATAATTGAATTTTGTTCCTGGGTACATATAGGTATTCATTGCACTATTCTTTCTAAGTTTCCAGGTGTTTAACATTTTTTATGATAAAACATTTTTAGACACTTATATAAGCCAAACTTTTATAACAATGTAATAGACTGCAGACCATCTAGAAGAGGCTAATTCATTACTACATAGCTGGGTGGTGAGGATGGAGGTAACTCACTTGCCCTAAAACTAACCCTAACCCAGTCCTCCTCCTTCCAATGCCTGCTGCCTCACATGTAGCCTGTCTTTGTTCCAGGCCCAGGAGGAGCTGGGGGTAAGAGCACAATCAAGTTTCAGTTTAGCTACTCAGAATCCAGATTAATGAATATCATTTCAGGCAGTTCCGCTTTGTCTGTCCTTTTCCTGGTATCTCCCCAGAGATGTCCAATGTAAGACAGGCCAGCCTCATATCAGACATAGAGAAAAGGCAAATGTGAACTTTTTTATTACACAGAACAGACAGACTGTCACAAATGGGCCTCAGGTGACACAGTAGCATGACCTGAGTACTTGCTGCAACTCCTGGGGCCTCATCTCAGACCTACTGAATCTGAAACTCAGCGTGTGGCCCAGCAATCTGTGTTTAACAAGTCCTGTAGGAGATTCTGATGCACACCAAAGTCTGAAAACCACAGATGCAAAGAGACACACAAGTGCATATGAATAGGCTTGTTTCATTTGGTCCTTCCATTTTATCAGTATGTAGCCTGTGTTTCATTATACCTGTGGTGGATGTGTTAAAAAGAGTTCTACAATGACACTCTCGTGCATAATTCTCAGAGAGAGCTTCCATTAGTGTGCTCAGGAACCTGCAGGAAAGCGTTTCACAAAAGTGCCAGTGTCACTTTAAGGAGCCACTCTGACTAGAGATGAACCCAAGGATCACGGGCTGTTGCCAAATCTGTGGTGTCTTCTGACCTTGCTTGTCTTTTTGAGCTTGGTCATGTTTTGCACGGAGCCATGGAGGCCCGTATAGTCTAGGTGTCTTACAGGCATTTTCAAGTTTTTACGAGGCCTCAAACTATATAAAATATATATAAAATATTTTGAAGCCTCAGAAAAACTTGAAAATGCCTGTAAGACACCTACACTACAGGTCTCCATGGCTCTCTGCAACTATTTTATAGTTGCTTTAATTTATAAAAGCTTCCCAGCTGATGTTTATATGCAGCCTGGATTGAGAATCACTGCTCTAGTGTCTCTGACAAGTGAATATCTTTGATAAAAGAGTAAAGAAATCTTTGTTTCTTTCTGTTTCATACACACACAAACACACACACATTTGATAGGTATATATATAGAAGAAACAGAAACAAAGAGAGCTCATTGAGGACATTAGGAGCAGGCTTTTGGATGGGGTGGTGTGCTTCATCCAGTGGCGCCCCCAGTTGGGCCCTGCTTCTACTTGCAGCTCCACACACTGCACAGGGAGGCCTACAGCAGCCACTGGCTCCCCTCCATCCCCTAGACCACAGCAGCCTCCATCTGGCCTCAAAACATGGAGCTGTTGCTGCCCCCAGCCACAGCTGGCCCAGCTGCATTCACGTTACCCATTTGGCCTTCACAAGATTTAGGCAGAAGATAAACACAGATGGGGCAGGTGAGCAGCAGGAAGGCCAGGTGCGCTGAAATTCCATCGAGGCAGGAAGTGCAAGTGCTGCACTATTTGAAGACACTTTATCTAAAAACAATCAAAAAGCAATTCTTCTCACTGGATCTGGACCCCCCTCAGGTGGAGATGGTTCTCCCCAACTGGGAGCCTGGGCGTTTTCATGAGTGGGCCACTTTCATCAGGTGCAGGAGGCTGCAGGCTCCTCAGAGGGTGCATCTTCAAGGGGGGGGTCAGAAAATGCCACCTTCTAAAATAAAAATGAAAATGAATCATGTGCATAAACTATGCTAAATGATGACTTGGAATCGTGCTTCTGGGGTTTCTCTAATATCAGTAAGGGGACTAGAACGTGACATAAATTGTGTTTCAGGGATTGTTGTAGGCCTGAGTTAATGCATCCCTGTTGTGATGGACATTTGTCAATGTTTGTGGCAGCCTAGCATCCATGCCCTCCCTCTATTTGGGGGAAATTCCCACTCTGTCAGTCACAGCAAGCTACCCCTCCCTCTAGGGAAGTAGGAAGGTCTAGAGACTAACCTCTTCCCCAGCACGCTTTTAGTTAGCACAGAGGCCAATGACAGGCTGGCCAATCAGATGCTCTCACCCTAGACTTTATATTGTGAATAAAAGTGTGGTGTGAGGCAAAGATGAATGGAAAGCTAGAATCCATGTGCATTGGCTGGGTGTGGTGGCTCACGCCTGTAATCCCAGCACTCTGGGAGGCCGAGGCTGGCAGATCACCTGAGGTCAGGAGTTCGAGACCATCCCGGCCAACAAGGTGAAACCCTGTCTCTACTAAAAATACAAAAATTAACTGGGCATGGTGGCATGAGCCTGTAATCCCAGCTACCCAGGAGGCTGAGGCAGGAGAATCTCTGGAACCCAGGAGGCAGAGGCTACAGTGAGCTGAGATTGCGCCACTGCACCCCAGCCTGGGTGACAGGGCAAGACTCCATCTCAAAAAAAAAAAAAAAAGAATCCATGTGCATTGGAAGGATCTGGCCAAGGCATGCTGGTAGGTTTTTTCCTGCTCAAAGATGATTATCTTGTATTCTGCTCCTTGGGCCCCTGTCTCTATTGGTTTTTGGCCCATATAGTTCTCTCTCTCTCTCTCTCTCTCTCTCTCTCTCTCTCTCTCTTTCTCTCTCTGTGTGTGTGTGTTTGATGGCAAATTTCAAATATACAGTACATTATTATCAATCATAGTCCCCATACTGTACAGCTTATCCCTATCGTCATTCTTCACCTTCTAATAATGTTTGTTGCTTCTTACATATTTTGAAGCCTCATAGAAACTTGAAACTATTTAATTCAAAGTGGCCTCTTAGTCTCTTTTCTGCTTACGATAATCGGAGTGGTTTTCTGCTGCTTGCAACCAACAATTGACTATATAGACATGTTTGGGAGGCATAATATAATGCTGATTTTTTAGGTGTTGTAGGGATACCAAGATGAATGCAGTCTGGAATGCACTACACACAGCGCATGAGAATACGGGCTCCGTAGTGAGACAGGCTTCAGTTCACCTCTTGCCTCTGCCACTTACTAGCTGGGTGACCTTTCACCTGGTCTTTTATCATTGCTGGGTTTCATTTCCTCGTCTGTAAAATGGAGTTACTAAATGGTCTTGAACTCCTGACCTCAGGTGATCCACCCGCCTCAGCCTCCCAAAGTGCTGGGATTACAGGCGTGAGCCACCGCTCCTGGCCTTGATAATGATTCTTAACTTCAAGGAATTTATAATCTTGTAGGTCTGGCTCATATTCACTAGTTCTTTTCAAACTTCCATGGTAGAGATTCAAGGACAACTGATGCTGTAACAAAAGGCAATCACTAATTGGGGTCTAGAAATGGAGAGCCAAAGCATAAGGCCACGTGTCAGTCATTCAACAAATAAGACCCACAGATATGTATTCAGATGCTTATTGAGCTCCTATTATATGCCATGACCTTACTAAGGATGATTTCAGTGGTCTCTAATGGTGAAAAGAAAGCTGTATGTAGAAGAAATATGCACTAAAAGAAAACAAGGTTAATTTTCCAGCCTAAAAGAAGTGAATTCCTCTCAAAACCAAGCTCTTTCTTTTGTCATCAAATGGGCTTCTGAATACTCACTAATTTACTTTCCCAGGGACCTCACAGTCAGGAAGTAGACATCCTCTAAGTGTAGTTATTAGGAATCCTGTTCCAGGTGCTGGCCTTCCATGAAAAATTAAGTTTCTAAACTTGCAAAGATAAAGACCAGATCCAACACTGACGGTTGACCTCACCAAGAAGCAGAAAACCTGTGAAACCTATCCTGCCCAGATACACCATATACTCAAATACTTTTTGAGCTCATCTTGTGTGTCTGGCGTCAGGCTAAGCACAGGGAATATCACAGTGAATCAACTAGGATGGCCCCTGCTGTCTTGGTGCTTACTCTGTGTTGAGGAAGGGAGATGCTTACCAAATAATTACACAGTCGGCTGGGCATGGTGGCTCACACCTGTAATCCCAGCACTTTGGGAGGCCTAGGTGGGCAGATCACGAGGTCAGGAGATTGAGATCATCCTGGCCAACATGGTGGAACCTTGTCTCTACTAATAAAAATACAAAAATTAGCTGGGCATGGTGGTGCATGCCTGTAATCCCAGCTACTCAGGAGGCTGAGGCAGAAGAATAGCTTGAACCAGGGAGCCGGAGGTTGCTGTGAGCTGAGATTTTGCCACTGCACTCCAGTCTGGCAACAGAGCAAGACTACGTGTCAAAAAAAAAGAATTACATAGTCATGTAATGACAAACTGTCTTAAGTACCCTGCAGGAGATGTTTAGGGATTTATGAGATCATGTAATAGGGAACACTGATCTAGTCTAGAGAGTTAGGGAGGGTTTTGATGAGTAGGAGCATACCTGAGCTTTGGTCTTAATGATGAGTAGTGGTTGACTATGTGGAGAGGGGAGGAAGGAATAGGTAAGCCAGAGAAAACATAGATAAAGGCCCTCTGGTGAGAGAGAGCAAGGCCTGGGTACCCACCTTCTAAAGTGTTGTGGGAAACATATGCAGCATTACCTGCAATACACAATAAATGTTAGTGGATGGAACAAATAATAAGCTAATAAAAACTAACTTTTTCTTAGGCTTATTATATTCTAAGAACTTTTAAAATGTATTAGGTTAATTAACACTAGCTACTGTAGCAAAGAATCCCCAAATCTGTGTGGCTTAATGCAATAAGGATTCATTTCTCCCTCACCTCACAGTGAATGTGAGTTGGGCAGCCCTCTCGGGCAATCTCCTTCTAGCTGTGACTCAGGGATCCACGCACTTTCTATCTTGTAGCTCCATAACCCCCCTCCAGAGCCTTCTTGAAGTTCTCTCCTAGATCTTTTCTATGTGATTGCCCAACTAGTGTGGAAGATAGTGTGGGACACTTTGGGAACAGGCTTGTAAGTGACATACATCACATCTACCCCTGTCAAATGGCCAGAACCACGTCAACCTGGTCCTAATGTGATTGCCGCAGAGGCCATGAAAGGTAGCTGTCCTGTGTGTGGCATGACTCCAGAACAAGGTCTCTTAACCATACCCAATATTTGCCAAGAAATCTGTATCAGGAATCAGACTTAAGTGCTTATATGACAAGCTGCTATTCTGGATGAAACACAAACAGAATTAGATAGAAATGGTCACCAGTTTTGGGAGCTTACACCCAAAGAGCCAGCTCTGGCCAGGAAACTCGACAATTTAGAGCACATTCTGTTGAAGATCATTAAACCCAGGCGGTGATTGGCAACTGCCTGGGAGTGGAGAGGGGGCCAAGGGAGAGATTTCACATTTCTCAGGGTGCTTGTGTAGTCTGGATAGGCATATTCTAAGATGACCATTGTTTTAATATGTTTTTAGTCATATCACATTTATTTTGAAGTTTTGAATAAAATTGGGGTGAGGGATGGAAGGAAATATTTATATTTTCAAAGGAGATTCCAAGAAGGTTGAGAAACTACAGACCAGGAAAGGGAAGGGAATTATTTACCAGGGGCTGAACTTATATGTGTTGGGGGAAAAGAAAGGAATCATAAAGGTATGATTTCTTCTCTTTCTCCTTCCCCGAGCCTGAACACATTTCACATTTTCTAAACTTGATGGGAATTTCCTCTTCAATCTCTGGCCTTGGAGAGAGAAAATTGGGGAAAGAGAAGACCAGGAATGAAAAATTGGAGAGAAAGAATGAAGGAAACTCTTGAATAAAAGAAAGTTGCTTAGAACATAGGGGAGGAGAAGATATCATCAAAAGCCAAACTCCAGACTTAAGTTTAAGTGTTAGAAAATGTTCCTGAAAGGTGGCCGGGTGCGGTGGCTCATGCCTGTAATCCCAGCACTCTGGGAGGCCGAGGTGGGTGGATCATGAGGTCAGGAGATCGAGACCATCCTGGCCAACACAGTGAAACCCTGTCTCTACTAAAAAATACAAAAAATTAGCCGGGCGTAGTGGTGGGCACCTGTAGTCCCAGCTACTTGGGAGGCTGAGGCAGGAGAATGGCGTGAACCTGGGAGGTGGAGCTTGCAGTGAGCTGAGATCGCGCCACTGCACTCCAGCCTGGGCGACAAAGAGAGACTCCATCCCCCACCCCCAAAAAAAACAAAAAAGTGTTCCTGGAAGGTTGGAAAGCCCAAATAAGTACAAAAAAGATTCCAAAACTGAGTTTCAAAGAAGGGAGGGGTAGCCTGGTGGTTTGAGGTGGCTTCTGATTGTGACATGACTCTGGATAGGGCTTAGAGATTTGGAATGGTGAGAGTAAACAGTGATTAACAAAAAGTAGGTAAGGCTTAGTGAGGGTTCCCACTCACATAATTTGCCATGTGAATTTCATCTGCTATTGTCACAACATTCCCATGGAACATGCACCCCTGTCGGTCCCATCTGCCAAAAATCACACTGTTAGTAAGTGGCCAAGCTGGGATTTGAGCGGTCCTTCTGGTTCCAGAGTCCAAGCTAGAGTTAGATGTGCCTGAGCTGTATAATGGCTTAATTAATTGTTGGTGTTTATGAAGTGGAAATACACATAGTACAATCAGTTAATTAGTTTTCTTCACAGCCTGAACATTAAATATTTTCCCCTTTACCTTTGCTCTGGTCTCCCACTTGGAGAGAGAATCTTTGCATTCTTTTTCTTTGAGAAGGAGTCTCGCTCTGTCGCCTGGCTGGAGTGCAGTGGCACAATTTCGGCTCACTGCAACCTCCGCCTCCTGGGTTCAAGTGATTCTCCTGCCTCCAAGCGATTCTCCTGCCTCAGCCTCCTGAGTAACTGGGACTACAGGCACGCACCACCACACCCGGCTAATTTTTTTTTTTTTTTTTTTGTACTTTAGTAGAGACGGGGTTTCACCATGTTGGCCAGGATGGTTTCTATCTCCTGACCTCGTGATCCACCCTCCTCAGCCTCCCAAAGTGCTGGGATTACAGGTGTGAGCCACCACGCCCGGCCCAACCTTTGCATTCTTAAGGATAATCTGATTGTTTCCACTTGGACAGCTTGGCGAGGAGGAGTGCTAACTCCTAGAAAGCTCCTAATTACTGCCAAGGTGAGCGAAGTGAAAAGTTGGTTCCATTTTCTGCAGAAAGGGTCAGTTCATTTAATTCCAGCAAAAAACTGGCTTCCAGGAGAAAAAGGACTGTTTAAAGGTCTGTGTCAATTATATGGTGATTATGAAATTCATGCTATGACTAATCCAGTGGCTCAATCTATGATTATCTGACACGATCCAAGAATCCACAGTGTAACAGGCTCTATGACTCCATTAAAGAAAAGTCAGTTTAATTCTGTGCTATGCTCCAGATTACTTCTCTCCTTTCCTAGATCTCCTCTATCAAAGAGAGTAGACGTTTATAAAATGGTGTCTGAATTCAACTCAGTGTCCTGGAAGCCATATGAAATATTTTTTTCATGGATGACTCAGAGCTTGGGAATTCCAGTGTGTTGCTTTATATAATCTGAAGTACCATAAAGACCTTTGACCTAGAAGACTTCCTTTGTTGCATGTGTATCTTTTCCTGTAATTAGAGTCTATGATTAGACTACAGGCCATCATGACAAGCCTTTGCTTTCCAAAGCACTCTATTTTTGGACCTTCTAATTTGATTTCTTAGGAATACTATATTTTGTAAATATTAACCAAAATCCATTTTTAACAAGCACCTACAAGCATCCCAGTTTCAAAAATCAGGAAGCAAAAAATTTTGCCCAAACTCTGTGGTCACTGACAGTGTTTTGGAGAAGAGTCTAACAATCTCTGAATTGTTGCAACTTCCCAGCGCCTTTCAGAGACAAAGGCCCGTGGTTCCTGTACACATTTTGTGTCTTGTGGCCCAGCTTTCCTGGCTGAAGCTGAGTGGACCAAGGATTAGTGACTGATGAAAAAGCTGCCATCTGTAGGTTAGACAGCAGCCATGAGATGTCCTCGTAAAAGAGCCAGGCAGAAAAGGGGCGCCCTCTACAGGATGGGCTCTGGCTGACTCAGTTTGACTGCTAGAAATACTAGAATCATCAGTCAGACAGAGAGGAAGTAAAGACAGTCACAATAAAGGTAGAAGTCTAGAGTCTGCAGCAAAAGGCACCTGTGCTGAGAGGACAGCAAGATAACCAGATATTTGCCTTGTATCTCAAATGCCTGTTGGTTTTATTGATCTCCTCATCATTTCTCTATGTAACCTCTGAGTCCTCATTGATTGACAAAGCTAGAACTTGCTTTCCTGAAACCTGTAGTAGGCTGAGTAATCCCTAATCCCCAGAATCTGTGAATATCACCTTATATGACAAAGGGACTTTGAAAATGTGATTTATATGAAGGATCTTGAGATGGAGAGACAACCCTGGATTATCCAGGTGGGGCCAATGTAATCACAAGGGTCCTTATAAGAGGGGGCAGGAGGGTCAGAGTGATGAGTAGGAGATGTGCTCACGGAAACAGGAGCTTGGAGTGATGTGAGGCAGGGGCTGTGAGGCAAGGACTGCAGGCAGCCTGCAAAACTGAGAAAGGTAAGGAAATGTATTCCCTTCTGAAGCCTCCAGAATGAGCCATTTCTGCAAACACTTGGCTAAATCTCAGTGAAACTGATGTTGGACTTCTGACCTCCGGAACTATAAGATATACATTTGTGTTGTTTTAAGCCACTAAATTTGTGGCATTTTGTTATAGCAGCCATAGGAAACTAGTATACCAACTGACAGACTAAGCCAGAGGTCCAGCATTTTCTGTCCTTTTTTATGGAGGAAGACAGACAATAAGTACCTTAAGCACTTGACCGTTCTGCCTGTTAGCATTGTGAGAAGTTCTCTGATCTGCTTTGAACAGGTTATTACATTTTGCCAGAAAGATATAAGGGAGAAAATGGGAAACTAGGCATTGAATAAAAATGACAAGAGAGTGGCCAATGGGGCCACAGTCGCTCAAAAAACACACCGTAACGGCAGTCCATGGCTGGGTGCCATAGCTGACACCTGTAATCCCAACACTTCGGGAGGCCAAGACAGGTGGATTGCTTGAGGCCAGGAGTTCAAGACAAGCCTGGGCAACATGGTGAAACCCCATCTCTACTAAGAATACAAAACATTAGCCGGGTGTGGTGTTGCACGCCTGTGGTTCCAGCTACTGAGGAGGCTGAGGTGGGAGAATCGCTTGAACCTGGGAGGTGGAGGTTGCAGTGAGCTGAGATTGCAACATTGCACTCCAACCTGGGAGACAGGGTGAGACCCTGTCTCAAAAAAAAGAGCAGTCTTTCTAAGGAGAAAGAATTTGATGTTATATTTTTAAAACTACTAATGACAATGAAAACAGATAAGAACACTGGTAAAACTGAAACCACACTTCACCCAGGGCTGTACCCATCACACAGTAATTTTTCATTAATTCAAAATCTGTCTGGAGAGATATCCCAATGCTCTTGTTAATTACTTCTTTCAAGGCATTCTTCTCATTGTAATTGAGCACTCCCCTGGGTACCATCCTATAAGTAAGTACATTAGTGCCTATATACAACCTACCGAGCCAAGTACTTATACACACAAACTGGCTTTCTGGCTCACCTTTCAACTCTCCCATTATAATTTCTAGAGAACACTGCCAGGTAGGCTTGCCTGTCATCCTCAATAAAGACCCAAGTGAGGATTCTTTTCCGTAAAGCTTCAAGTTTAATTAGCTCATTCTGCTAGTTCCTTAGAAAAGGCTTTCTGCTGCCAAAGAAAATTAAGCTTTTTTTAAAAAACAAAAACAAAAACAAAACAGGTTTCAACTCATTCGGTATATTTTAGGATAAATATATTTTGAAGGCAAGGGCAAAGTTTTTTTGTTTTTGGTTCTGTTTTTGGTTTTGTTTTTGAGTCGGAGTCTCACTCTATCACCCAGGCTGGAGTGCAGTGGTGTGATCTTAGCTCACTGCAACCTCCGACTCCCGGGTTCAAGCTATTTTCCTGCCTCAGCCTCCAGAGTAGCTGGGACTACAGGCACGCACCACCACGCCCGGCTAATTTTTGTATTTTTAGTAGAGACAGGGTTTCACCATATTGGTCGGGCTAGTCTTGAACTCCTGACCTCGTGATCCGCCCACCTCAGCCACCCAAAGTGCTGAGATTACAAGCATGAGCCACTGCGCCTGGCCAAGGGAAAGGTTTTTATACATATTTTTATTTATCCCTTAGTAACCTGAATATGACTAATAAAGAAATCTTGACCAGTGCAGTGGCTCACACCTGTCATCTCAACACTTTGGGAGGCCGAGGTGGGCGGATCACGAGGTCAGGAGTCCACAACCAGCCTGGGCAACATGGTGAAACCCCGTCTGTACTAAAATACAAAAAATTAGCCGGGCATGGTGGTGTGCCCCTGTAGTCCCGGCTACTCGGGAGGCTGAGGAAGGAGAATTGCTTGAACCCAGGAAGCAGAGATTGCAGTGAGCTAAGATCACACCACTGCACTCCAGCCTGGGTGACAGAGCAAGATTCTGTCTCAAAAAAAAAAAAAAAAGAAATCTTTATACTATAGTAATAAGGATTATTCTGATAGTTACTGTATTGATTGTTTTGATAATTACTGTGTTCTTAGTTGCAGACAACAGAATTCACTCTAGCTAGTTTCAATAGAAAGGGGTTACAGCAGGGTATTAGGTAGCTTATGGGATTTCCAGCAGTGCCAGAGAAACAGGTGAGGATACCACACAGCCGGAAACAACCCCAGCAGAAATGCCCAGCCATAAACAGGGCTGTTCTCACAGAAGCCCCACTGCTGCTGCTCACCATTCAATACCTGTGATGCTGGGGGCTGGACAGTGAGGCTTCTCTCAAGGCTCTTTCACGGTCATGTCTGCAAAAAGATGGACCCAACTACATGTGCTGCCACTTCACTTAAATGACCTTCATCTTCCTGGAGCACATAGGCATCTGCTGGGCAGAACCTGGGTCATAGGCAGAACCCTAGCTACAAAAGAGTCCAGACACTGTAGGTTTTAGAAATGGTCAAAGCAGATATTGTGTGGACCCATTCGTGGAATCTGCCACAGTGACCATATCGATTTCAGGCAATTTGTAAGTAATGGTAATCATGAGAGTTATATGAGAATAATGGCTAGCAATTTCCAGTGCTTTGTAGCACTTAATATCTTATAAGCATGATTTCATTTAATCCTCAAAGCAGCCCTATGAGGTAGGTACTATTCGTATCCTTGGATTGTAAGTGAAGACATCAAAGGACTAGAGAGGTTAATTCACTCACCCCACATCTCATGGTGGTAAAAAGCCAGGATTCAAACTCAGCTCTGTCTGAATGAAAGTCTGTGCTTTCAGCTAGTATACTGCTAATGCTTTACTAATTATTATTTTTAGTTTATCTTCTAGGAGCAGCTTGACTATCTAATCTGGGTTTACCACTTCTGGAAGACTTTTTACCCACAGTGGGACTCTGATATTTGTGTAACTGGAAATGGAAATGAGATCTTCTGAATGTGGAATGCAAAGGAGAGGGTACGTCTCACCAATCCTGGGTTATATTACCTTTGTGTCAGATGTAAGGTGACAAGCCAAGCATAGGACATGCACCAAGTGGAAAAGTCCACTGAAAATTTTATCTTTGAAGAGAACAGAAAAAGCATTAAATCTCTATATCTGGTACAGTCTATATGGGTTGTTTTATCTGAAAGGGGAAGGAGGAATGCTTTAAAAAAAAAGGTAACCTTAACTCTAGGCAAAACTTAAATTATTTTCTTCTCTTTCTTCATTTCTAAAGCTACAGCCAGTCAGACAAGATGGGACATGTAGTGTTGCACAATGATCCTGCTGCATTTTCAGCCTCCAGGCTGAGAAGCAAGTGCAATTAACATTCCAAGGTGGGAGTTATTTCCCCACCATTTGAGCCCTGCAGCATCTTATTGTGATTACAAAGGCTGGACTAACTGGCTTTGTCAATGTAATGTATACACATTAAACATATACAGACAGTTCTTGAAAAGTTATAAATTCAAACATTCCATAGTATGTGGAACCCAGTAAATTATAGAATGGGAAATGCTTTCAAAGGAGCACCTGATTCAGCATCCTCCTACCTCTTGTTTCTAATTAAAACAAAAAAAAAAAGAAAAAGAAAAAAGAAACATAAAAACAACGGCATTGTAGTCATGCTTTAATTTCATTCTAAACTTGTGTCATCCTGTTGAATTGAGGCCCACAGGGAACAGGGCCCAGCAAATCCCTGGACCTCCTGGTATTTGGTATAAACATAGCAGCTAACCTGGACTGGCTTCCACAGAGCTAAGACATTTTCTTTTTTGCACACAGAGCAGTATGCTCCAAAATTATATGTACATGTTGCAAAAGTATATATTTTGTTCCAAATATATGCTCTAAAATTATATATAATATATATATATTTTATATATATATAATTTCTTTGAGTCAGGGTCTTGCTCTGTTGCCCAGGCTGGAGTTCAGTGGTGTGATCATAACTTACCTCAGCCTTGAACTCCTGGGATCAAGCAACTCTCCTGCCTCAGCCACTTGAGTAGCTTGGGCTACAGGTGAGTGCCCCCATGTCCAGCTAATTTTTATGTTTTGTAGAGATGGGGTCTTGCTTTGTTGCAAGGTATCTAACTCCTGGGCTCAAGTGATCCTCACGCCTTGGCCTCCCACAGTGCTGGGATTACAGGTGTGAGCCAATGCACCTGGCCATGAACACATAGTTTTAAAAATACTTATTTGTTTAAATGTATATTAAGAAAGACATATAATAGGTCAAACATGAGATTCGTGGATGTTATTGCTCATAGCAAGGCTAAGATTTTAAAAAAGAAGGGGGAATCACTGAAAGGAATTAGATAAATAAATAACATGATACTCTAGCAAAACCAAAAACGTTGCAGGTGGTCCTGGAGTGATGAAAGTGAGGGAAGCCATCGAAGAGAACAGTGCCTGGATTCAAGTGCCTGCTCTGTCCCTGACAGGCTGGAAAGATCTTGAACAAGTCGTCTCCCCCTGATGAACTTCAGACTGTAAACTAAGAGGATGTACTGGGGCAATGTTGAACGTGGGGTGTGTTCTTCCTTGTTCCAGGAGACCAGGGCTTCCCATGGTGTCTCAGGCACTGGGCAGGAAGAAAGGTGAGGCTTCCACTCCCAACAGCTTCAACTAGAGGCAGCTTTCACTAGCTTTACAAATGCAGCTTCTTACAGAAGTTGGTTTGAAAATAAGGTTTCATTGGTTAAAAAGTCTGAAAATGTTCTTCTCAGCCCCAAAATAGAATATTTATATACTACGCTTTTGTAAACGATAACTAACCAAAAAGCTAATGATATCAAAATAAGTTCAGCTGGCGTGCGGCTTGTTTCAGGAAGTCTGTTCAAGAGGAAAGTATAGCCAAATAATAACAGATAATGTGTTTGATCACAGGCTATCCCAGGCACTGAGCTATATATACTAATGAATCTTGGAAAAACAAAACCAATAAACAAAATAAAACCACCACTAGGAGGTACGTTTTATAAATAACTCCACTTTACAGATGAGGATACTGAGGCTCAGAGAAGTGAAGTGGCTTGGCTTAGCTCACCCACTTTGTGCACAGTCAGGGTACAAACACAGGCAGTCTGACTCCCCTTAACTGTATCACTGTGTCGCCTCGCAGGAGGGCAGAGAGAGGTGCCTGGTACCTGGGAATCGGCGATCTCTAGCAATACAGATAAATACCCCATTTAGTGCACATTTCAGGCTACCCAGCATCCATGACCCAATTTTCAAAGATTTTCCATTCATCTAGTTGTTAGGCAGTGGTGGTCCGGGCATGCTTCTTTGGCCAGGCCAGGGATGATTTCTGTTTCATGGTACAGTCTTTGCTGTGAGGGTTCATCTGGGTGGGGGCTCACAGGCCTCTTACAATGGAGTTTCTCATATTCTGAACCAATTCTGGGTTCTCAGGCAGGTCCCTGAGTCATATTCTTTTTTCTCCTGGATCACAGGGCTGGGTCTACCTACTTTCTTTCTTTCTTTTTTTTTTTTTTTTGATACTGATTCTCGCTCTGTCAACAGGCTGGAGTGCAGTGGCACAATCTGGGCAAACTGCAACCTCCGTCTCCTGGGTTGAAGCAATTCTCCTGCCTCAGCCTCCAGAGTAGCTGGAATTATAGGCATGCGCCACCACGCCTGGCTAATTTTTGTATTTTTAATAGAGACGGGGTTTCACCATGTTGGCCAGGCTGGTCTTGAACTCCTGACCTCAAGTGATCCACCTGCCTCAGCCTCCCAAAGTGCTGGGATTACAGACATGAGCCACTGTGCCTGGCCAGAAGTCTTCATTCTTTACAGTACTTCAGGACTTCCAAATGCCTCTTCACTCTCTCCTCATGGTTTGCATTCCTGCACTGGTGACTCTCTCTTCATTGCAGTGCCTTCTGCATATCCCACACGGCAGGAGGCCCAGACAGGAACCCCCACGGTGTAAAAGGATAATGTTTGATCTAAGCGTTCTGTCCAAATCCCTCCAGATCTTTTTTTTTTTTTTTTTTTTAATCAGGCAGCCCTCAGAATCACAGCAGATTCAGAGAGAGTGCCCCTCTAGATTTTTTTATGATTTTGGTCATTTCTCTCTGCCTTCAAGTGTGCTTTTGTTTACAATGGCCTGCACCTGTAACTCTTCTTAGGGGAATTTGCCCTGGGCTACTGGAGCTGCTTTTCACTCAAGGACAGAATTCTGGAAGTGTCTAGTAGGTTTTCATGCTCCTGGTGTGGCCCTTAGTGGATGACCAAGGGTGAGACCCTCTCTTGCCTTAGGCTGAGACAGACTCAGGTGTGACTTACATCCCAGAGTGTTTCCCACCCACCCCCTCCCTGCAGGATCAGGCTGAATCACAGACTGGCTGGGCTCCTTCCCTTGCCTGCCTCCTCCACGCCTTCACTGATTTCTCCTGGGAGCCATTTTTTAAATTTATTACTTACACACAGGTCCTCATCTCAGGGTTTTGTTCTGGGAAACCCAACCTAGAAAAAGACTTAAAAGAAAAAAAAAGAATTACAACTTAAAACTGAAAATAGTTATCACTGGTTTTAATGCAGTATAATAAAGCCAGGCCTGTTCCTTCTCAGCCTCTTGAAGAACTTAATGCTCAATTTAACATTTTATTTACATTTTCATTCATCTTTTTATGAATTAATCACGCCCAAACTTTTGTTGCTCTTTCCTTCCTTTGAAAGGTTTCTGAGTTTCTTCCCTTCTCTGGAAGTTAACTGGTGAGGACTGCCTTAAACACAGTTTAAGGAGTTGTGTTGCCCCCAACCCCAATATCCCCTTTCAGGAAGTAGTGTCTTGGTTGTGTTTTGTCTTCCAACACACAGATGCATACACACACATGCACCCACAAATACACACTTGTGCACACACCAATGCACACAAATCATGTTCCCACATGCAGGCATGAATAAAAACATGCACTCACACACGTGTGCACACAGAAATCACGTACATGCACACATGCACACACATATGCACACCATAGTTAGGATTCAGGCACCTGCCTATCTGCCTGCCTAAACTGTTCACTGTGGAATTTCCTGATGCTTCTTTTTACTTGTGTGGTTTCCTGAAAGAGTATGAAGGACTCTGATGGTTGTCAACAGAGTGTCAAGTGTAGGACTGAACCAAATGACATACTGTTGAATATAATAAGAAAAATAGAAGGCACTGAGAGAAAAAGAAGGCGAGTAGTAAAATTTCTTTGGGTAGCTTCTAAGCACACATTTTTAAAGTTTTGCTAAAGTCTAAGGGGGCATACAAAATTACCTTAGATTAAATGTTTATTATAGCTTCCGTATTAATGTTAGGTCAGATTTATAATGTGGTAGACTCTGAATAGAACTATGTTTATACTATGTTGTATATACACTTTTATTATTATTATTATTATTATTATTATTATTATTTGAGACCGAGTCTCATTCTGTTACCCAGGCTGGGGTGCAGTGGCATGATCTTGGCTCACTGCAACCTCTACTTCCTGAGTTCTAGTGATTCTTGTGCCTCAGCCTCCCAAGTAGCTGGGATTACAGGCATGTGCCACCACACCTGGCTAATTTTTGTATTTTTAGTAGAAATGGGATTTCACTATGTTGCCCAGGCTGGTTTCGAACTCCTGGACTCAAGTGAGTCGCCTGCCTCAGCCTCCCAAAGTGCTGGGATTATAGGAGTGAGCCACCATGCCTGGCCTGCATTGTAATTTTCCAAAAGGAGGATGGAGTCATGCTTGCCAAACCTATTGGACTACAGCACCCTTCCTGAGGAGCATCTCTGGAAAGAGAGTCCAGTGGACAATACTCTCAGCAGTGCTGACCCGCTTTACCCTTGGACCTGCACGCTTGCAGTGATCTGGTCTAGCTTTTTGTTACATGAACACCAGCATTTTCCACAGATGTGACCTCCCACTGTCAAGGTGATTTAAAACAAAATTTTTTGTAGAAACCAAAAGAATCCTTGCCAGATAATTTAAGCATCAAAGAGATAAATGCACATGTGATGTTATAGAAGGAAAAGAATCTTCTTGGGAGGTGCTACTTCTCCCCTAGCCCATGAGGACCAATAAATACTAATGAGGACCCTTCTCATCTATAAGCCAGGGTGCTAAGCACCCTCCACAGACTATCTGATTTACTTATTACAGCACTGCCACGTGGTAGATGGCATTTTTCTTACTTTGTAATAAAAAAGCCTGAGGGTTAGAGAAGTTAAATAACTCACTTGAGGTGCCCAACATCATCTGGTAGGTCTGGATTCAAATCCAAACCTGTAACACCAAAGCCCATGGCCTTAAGCAATAAAAGGTAAAAGGCTGGCATGGTGGCTCACCCCTGTAATCCCAGCACTTTGGCAGGCTGGGGCAAGTGGATCACCTGAGGTCAGGAGTTTGAGACCAGCCTGACCAACAAGGAGAAATCCTGTCTCTACTAAAAAATACAGAAGTAGCTGGGCATGGTGGCGCATGCTGGTAGTCCCAGCTACTCGGGAGGTTGAGGCAGGAGAATCGCTTGAACCCAGGAAGTGATGGTTGCGGTGAGCTGAGATCTCGCCATTGCACTCCAGCCTGGGCAACAAGAGCAAAACTCCGTCTCAAAAAAATAAAAAAATAAAAATAAAAGGTAAAAAAAGCAAAGAATGAGGGGGAGACATGTCCAAGTGGACATCTGTACATCCCCCTTCCCTTGTGTGGCTCTAGCTGCCTGGATTTAAAGTCAGGTCAGAGCCCACATACCCCAAGGTATGGGGCCCAAAGTGACCATGCTAATTTCTCAGGCCTTAGGTCAGGTCACTCAATGATAATAGCTGATATTTATGGAGTGCTTCCCCAGTGCCAACCACTGGTAGGATCTTCACACGCGTGATCTCACTTAAACCTTTAGGTTCAAAGCTGTGAGGTAGGTACTATAATGACCCCATTTTACAGAAAAGCATAGGTTCAGAGAGGTTACTTTGCTTGCCCAGGGCCACACCACTAGGAAACGGTAGAGCTGGGCTTCAAAACCAGGTCTGGTCTGAGTTCAGGCCATATACTTAACCCATACTTAACTCTTTGAGTTAAAACTAGAAAAAAAATGGAAAAATCAGTCTTTTTTAGGTATTTCCAAATTATGAACATTTGCTGGTTTTGGGGGCTATGTAACACCCAGATCGCCTTCCTGTTTCATGGGAATTCCACTTTTGGAAGGTCTTGATGGGAGGGCCTCTGCCTGTGGGAGCTGGCAAAGGCCAGACATTCCCTGTCCCTGCCTCCTGGCTCACCAGTGGGCTGCTCCAGCAGGGAATGATGGTTTTGGGGGGCGTGATGATGCCAAGACACGGGAGCCCTTAGAGAGCATCCATAGCAGTGGCTGTGGCTGTGGGTGATGTTCCTGTGTCACATCTTTGGCTGGGTTTTCTGCTGACTCACCTTCATGAGTTCCTGCCTGTTTCCTGGGGCTGGTAGCCAAGCCTCCCCACCTGTTCTGTGACCCACCAACGTTTTTCCAATATACTCACTCCCTTTCTGTTTAGGTAAACTGCAGGTGGCTTCTGATGTGTGCAACCAAGAACCAGACATGTACAAAAGTCTTCGTACTTTTGGAATTATATAATTGGAGCCAAAGATAAACCTTTGTCTTAGGCTCCTGCAGATGATTTAAAAATGTATTCTTTTCTGAAATCCAAGCAGAGGACATAGCTGTGGCTTTGTCCTTGGGTAACAACCACCTTTTGTACACTGGGGCTATAGGCAGAGAATTCCAGTTTCTCAGCGTGACCTTCAAGGCTTTGCCCAGAATAGCTCCATTCATGACTCTGTCTTCTAACTAGGCCCGTATTCCAGCCAACCTGGCCTTCTGGCTGCTCCTTAGCCATGTTTTGCCTTTTCTCACCCAAATATTCACCTGCCCTTCTGAGATCAGCTTCTTCTAACACAGGTATACATGGAAAGCTTGGTCTTACATATACCTTGAGTCGTCCGCTTAGAAGCACGTCCTATATGTAATCCCAGCACTTTGGGAAGTTTGGCCAGATGGATCACTTAAGGCTAGGAATTTGAAACCAGCCTGGCCAACATGGTGAAACCCCATCTCTACTAAAAATACAAAAATTAGCCAGGCATGGTGGCATGTGCATGTAATCTCGGCTACTTGGGAGGCTAAGGCATGAGAATCGCTTGATCACAGGAGGCAGAGGTTGCAGTGAGCTGAGATCGCACCATTGCACTCCAGCTTGGGCAAAAGAGCAAGACTCCGCCTCAAAAAAAAAAAAAAAAAAAAAAGAAGAAGGTCCTATAGTCATAGGTTTCCCACTGTTTCTAGCTCTGCTGAGGGCCGCGGCTCCCCTACAGTGGTCTGCTAACTCCAACTCTAGGCCTGAGGTAGTCCACTTGGTAGGAGAAGAGTCTAGTTGTCTCTTCATAGGCCTCACTGGGAAGTGGGAAAGGGAGCGGGTCTCCTTCCCCTTCACCACACCACCCCAGGTTGTACAGATGGAACAACTCACTTCACTGGGCATGTTGGAACCATTGGAAAGCGAACCGAAATTCAATAGAAGGAAGGTGAAAGTTCTTGATGCATCTGATTCTCCCAGAGTTGCAAGGGAAAGTAGCACAAAATTAGGCCTTCACTTTGTTGGGGTAGAGGATTCTGCTAAGGTCTGGCCCTGAACGTCCTACTTTCTTGATCAAGCATCTTCTACTACAAGACTTTTGGGAAAACCTCTTTGAGTCACTGGAAACCACTGGGAAGGCTCTGTCCCATCCCCCTCCTCTCTCCAGACATTTCCTCATTCAAATGGGCAACTCAGCAGGACTATCAGCCCTGCTAGGACAAGGAAGACCTGAAGACCCATCAGAGGTAGCAGGAGCTGGGGAGAGGCTCAGGCTCACCAGGGTCTGTGGCTGAGGATGGGTATGGGTCGTCTGGGTCAGATTATCTTTGTGCTTGCTATTCCCTTCAGCAAACATGGCTGTGTCAGTAGCTTTTGAACTTGTTAGATTTAACAAGTAGTGGTTAATTAAGAAGCTTTTCTTCATTAACAAGGTGCTTCCCCTTTCCCTTGAAGTCCCTAAATCCCGTTATAATGTACAGGAGGGGTTAATCCCTTTCTCATTTTGCCTATCAGAGCAATGGAGGAGGCGTGTGGCTCATGCCTGTAATCTCAGCACTTTGGGAGGCCGAGGTAGGAGGCTCATTGAGCCCAGGAGTTCGAGACCAGCCTGGGCAGGGCAACACAAAAAAAAATTTAAAAATTACTTAGGTGTGGTGGTGTGCACCTGTAGTCCCAGTTGTTTGGGAGGACTAGAGGGAGGATCATTTAAGTGGGAGGATTGTTTAAGCCTGGGAGATTGAGGCTGCAGTGGGCAGTGATCATGGCACTGCACTCTAACCTGGGCAACAGAGCGAGACCCTGCTTAAAAACAAAGAAAAATAATAATGCAGGAGTTACTTTAAAAAAAAAAAGCTTTATTCAGATATAATTCAAGTATGATGCAATTCACCCACTTGAAGCACACAATTTGAGGGTTTTTACTACAGTATATTCACAGTTACAGGCCATCACCACAGTCAATTTTAGAATACTTTCATCAACCCAAAATTAAGCCTCATACCCATTAGCAGTCTTGGCAACCACTAATCAACTTTATGCCTCTATAGATTTGCCTTTTATGAACAATTCATATAAATGAAATTATACAATACTGTATGTGCTATTCTGTGACTGGCCTCCTTCACTTAGCATAATGCTTTCAAGGTTCATCCATGGTGTAGCATGTATCAGTACTTTATTCTTTTTTATAGATAAGTAGTGTTCATTGTATGAATATACCACTTTTGTTTATCCATTTATCAGTTTATAGATCTTTGGGTTGTTTTGACTTTTTGGCGATCATAAATAAAGCTACTAAGAACATTTGTGTACAAGTCTATGTGTGCACATATGTTTCTTCATTTTTCTTGGGTATATACCTAGGAGTAGAACTGATTGATCACAGCTCTGTTTAACCTTTGGAGGAGCTGCCAAAATGTTTTCCAAAATAGCTGCACTATATTACATTCCTACCAGCGCTGTATCAGGATTTCAATTTCTCCACATCCTTGCTACAACATTATCATCTGTGTTTTTTATTATAGCCATCCTACTAGGCATGAAGTGGTACCTCACTGTGGTTTTGATTTGCATTTTCTGATGGCTCGTAATGTCGAGCATCTTTTCTTGTGCTTATTGGTCATTAGTGTATCTTCTTTGGAGAAACGTATATCTACATCCTTTGCCTGTATTTATTTATTTATTTATTTGAGACAGAGTCTCTTTCTGTTGCCCAGGCTGGAGTGCAGTGGTGCGATCTCGGCTCACTGCAACCTCCACCTCCCGGGTTCAAGTGATTCTCCTGTCTCAGCCTCCCTAGTAGCTGGGATTACAGGCGGGTGCCACCATGCTTGGCTAATTTTTGTATTTTTAGTAAAGACAGGGTTTCACCAAGTTGGCCAAGCTGGTCTTGAACTCCTGACCTCAGATGATCCACCAGCCTCGGCCTCCCAAAGTGCTGGGATTGCAGGCATGAGCCACCACGCCCAGCCTATTTATTCATTTAGAGATGGAGTTTCATTCTGTCACCCAGGCTGGAGTGCAGTGGTGCAATCTTGGCTCACTGCCGCCTCTGCCTCACAACTTTCAAGTGATTCTCCTGATCAGCCTCCTGAGTAGCTGGGACCACAGGCACACGCCACCGCATCCAGCTAATTTCTGTATTTTTAGTAAAGAAGGGTTTCGCCATGTTGGCCAGGCTGATCTCAAACTCCTGACCTCAGGTGATCTGCCCGTCTCGGCCTCCCAAAGTGCTGGGTTTATAGGCATGAACCACTGCACCAGGCCATTTGCCTGTTTTTTAATTGGGTTATTTATTTTTATTGTTGTTTTTGAGTTGTAAGAGTTATTTATATAGTCTAAATACAAGTCCCTTATCAGATATATGATTTGCAAATATTTTCTCCCATTCTTTGAGTTGTCTTTTCACTTTCTTTATGGTATTCTTTGAAGCATGAAGTTAAAAAAAAATGTGAAGTCCAATTTACCTTTTTTTCCTTTAACTGCTTTGCTTTAGTATCATATCTAAGAAACCACTGCCTAACACAAAGTCACAAAGATTTACTTCTTTGTTTTATTTGATGAGTTCTAGAATTTTAGCTCTTATATTCAGGTCTTTGATCCATTTTAATTTTTGTATATGGTGTGAGATAGGGGTCCAACTTTATTACTTTGCATGTGGCTATCTAGTTATCCCAGCAGTATTTGTTGGAAGGACTATTCTTTCCCCGTTGAATTGTCTTGGTATCCTTGTTGACAATCAATTAACTGTAACTGTGAAGGTTTATTTACAGACTCTCAATTTTATTCTTTTTATTTATTTATGTATTTATTTTTTGAGATGGGGTCTCACTGTCTCACCCAGGCTGGAGTGCAGTGACGTGATCTCGGCTCACAGTAACCTCTGCCTCCTGGGTTCAAGCAATTCTCCTGCCTCAGCCTCATGAATAGCTAGGATTACAGGCACCCACCACCACACCCAGCTAATATTTTGTATTTTTAGTACAGATGGAGTTTCGCTATGTTTGACAGGCTAGTCTCCAACTCCTGGCCTCAAGTGATCTGCCCGCCTCAGCCTCCCAAAGTGCTGGGATTACAGGTGTGAGCCACCGTGCCTAGCCTATTCTATTGTTTTATATGCTGTCCTTATACCAGTACCAGAGGTTACTTTTTTTTTTTTTTTTTTTTTTTTTGAGATGGAGTCTCACTCTGTCACCCAGGCTGGAGTACAGTGGCACGATCTCTGCTCACTGCAAGCTCTGCCTCCCAGATTCAAGCCATTCTCCTGCCTCAGCCTCCCCAGTAGCTGGGACTACAGGCACCTACCACCATGCCTGGCTAATTTTTTGTATTTTTAGTAGAGACAGGGTTTTACCGTGTTACCCAGGATGGTCTCGATCTCCTGACCTTGTGATCCACCCGCCTCGGCCTCCCAAAGTGCTAGGATTACAGGCATGAGCCACCACGCCCGCCCTGCCTAGAAGTTACATTTTAATCAAGGCTGCTTTCTTTCCTTCCCCAGGAGGAGCTCCTGGTTGACAGTTTCTTTGTTCATAATTTAGTCTTGGAAGGAGGATAAGGTCAGAGAGAAAGGAGGGGAGGTAGGCAGTTCTTTATGTCTGTATTTTCTCAGGCTGTTCTTATTTCTCCAAGAGTGGGACTCCATACCATAGAGGACATGTTAGTGACACCCTCATTCATTTATTCATTTTCAGTGCATGGTGATACACTGCAGCTTGTCTGTGCCTAATTAAGTGGTTCTATAGATTACACTAACTGGATTCCAATAAACTAAATTTGCTGACCTTTTCTGTGAAGGCCAGAGGCTGTCAGTAGTATCAAAACATGCCTGCATTCATGTGCATACACACACAATGTGACCTTTAAAATAAAGGTGTTATTTAACAATGATTGAGAGAAAGACAAACTCCTTTCCTAAAAAGACACGTTAAGCAGAGGGCATTAGGAAAACAGATCTTTAAAAATATTTCATAGTTATGTGGTTTTGTTGTAAAGACAAGTATGTATTTATAAAAACTCATAGCTGTGGCCAGGCGCGGTGGCTTATGCCTGCAATCCCAGCACTTTGGGAGGCCAAGGCAGGTGGATCACGAGGTCAGGAGATCGAGACCATCCTGACTAACATGTGAAACCCTGTCTCCACTAAAAACACAAAAAAATTTAGCTGGGCGTGGTGGCGGGTGCCTGTAGTCCCAGCTACTCTGGAGGCTGAGGCAGGAGAATGGCCTGAACCCGGCAGGTGGAGCTTGCAGTGGCCAAGATCGTGCCATTGCATTCTGGCCTGGGCGACACAGTGAGACTCCGTCTCAAAACAAAACAAAACAAACAAACAAACAAAAAAAACGAAAACAAAAACAAAAAACCTCATAGCTGCATACTTTTAAAACTTGGAAATCAAAATTTCTAACCCATTTAGGATTAAAAGGAAATGTTTCAGTGGATTTTGTACTCATTTGTTAGTTTAGAAGAACAACTGGTTCCCATCAGGGAAAATGGAAAGACGCTAACAGCATTACAAGAGCAGCAGCACCTTTGCATAATTAGTGAACAGGATGGAACATTAATATCATAGGCCAGGCACGGGGGGCTCACGCCTGTAATCCCAGCACTTTGGGAGGCCGAGGCAAGTGGATCACCTGAGGTCAGGAGTTCAAGACAAGCCTGGCCAACATCATGAAACCCCATGTCTACTAAAAATACAAAAAAATTAGCGGGGCGTGTTGGTGGGCATCTATATAATCCCAGCTACTTGGGAGGCTGAGGCAGGAGAATTGCTTGAACCCCAGGGGCAGAGGTTGCAGTGAGCTGAGATCGTGCCACTGTACTCCAGCCTGGGTGACAGAGAGAGACTCTGTCTCAAAAAAAAAAAAAAAGAAAAACATTACATAGTAAGCAGAACTAATGACAGCTTCATCCATTTGTGTGTATGTACTCTTTTAGAGCAAATGTATAAGTTATGATATCCATTTAAAAAGGAACAAAATAAGCCGGGTGTGGTGGCTCACATCTGTAATCCCAGCACTTTGGGAGGCCAAGGTGGGTGGATCACTTGAACCCCAGGTGCAGAGGTTGCAGTGAGTTGAGATTGCACCACTGCACTCCAGCCTGGGCGACAGAGTGAGACTCCATCTCAAAAACAAACAAACAAAGAAACAAAAAAACTGAACTTTAGAAGCAGAACTTTGAAAAGAACAATAAATCAATATGCTGAAATCGAAGGGCCGGGCGCAGTGGCTCATGCTTGTAATCCCAGCAGTTTGGGAGGCCGAGGCGGGTGGATCACTTGAGGTCAGGAGTTTGAGACCAGCCTAACCAACATAGTGAAACGCTGTCTCTACTAAAAATACAAAAATTTAGCCAGGCAAGATGGTAGGTGCCTATAATCCCAGCTACTCAGGAGGCTGAGGCAGGAGAATCACTTGAACCTGGGAGGCAGAGGTTGCAGTGAGCTGAGATCACGCCACTGCACTTCAGCCTGGGTGACAGAGCGAGACTCCATCTCAAAAGAAAAAAAAAAATTAGTTTGGCATTGTGGTGGGTGCCTGTAACCCAGCTATGAGGGAGGCTGAGGCACGAGAATCACTTGAACCCAAGAGGTGGAGGTTGCAGTGAGCTGAGATCGCGCCACTGCACTCCAGCCTGGGCGACAGAGCAAGATTCTGTCTCAAAAAAAAAAAAATGCTGAAAAATGTAAAACAAGTCCAACCACAATGCTCTTACTAAAAATATTATTATAAACAATATTAACATTTTATGTTTATAATATATTAAATACTATTAATCATGTTGCAAATATTACTAATGCTGGAAGTTTTAGTGAGAACAAAAAGTAATATATTAAACAGAATAAAATTAAAAATAGTTAAAAATATATAGATTCTGTAAGTCCTATACTGGGCAGAGGTGCTTACATTCTTTTACTGATATGAATATGCCTTCAAAAAATTTTTTTTAATTTTAAAAAAGGAATATACCATCAAAAAAGTTTGGAGGCCACTGGCTTAAACTACTACAGTGTTGTAATACAGAACAACACTGTGAACTGCCAATAGGGAACTACAGTGCATGGCATTTCTCAAACTCGTCTGGCCATGAGTCATTTGGAGGCATGAAAGTTCCAAGAAACCCTCTTTGGACCATGCTGTATGGTGGATAAGAGCATGAACCTGGAGTCAGACAAAGCTGACTTCAGCTAACTACCAGACTCATCTTATACTAGCTAGGCGACCTGAGCATTTTACTAAATCTTTTTGAACTTTTTTCCTTATCTGTGAAATGGGGATAGTGATATCTACCTCATATGGTTGTATGGACTTTAAAAACAATATTGTATATAAGTGCATAGTATAATGCCTGATGTCTTGTAAGCACCCCTTAAAAGGAAGTTTCTATCATTCTATCATCTCTGATAGTTATTTAGAGACCTGATGTATCTTTCATAACTACACTTCTTCAGAGCAGAAATTGAATCTTCTCTTATGAGTCCCATGGAACACTTAGCTGCAATAGGTATGTGAGAATGAAGAAATAAATGATATTAATAGAAGCAGAGTTCTCTGAAAGACTGAGAGACTAACTATACCACCAAAGACAGAAATGTTTCTTTCTCAGCTGTTTATAACTTACCATTTTAATGGCTACACCAGAACATTCACATAGGATGAATCCTCATAGTAATTTTCCTTACCTAGGCAGTTGATAACAATTAGTCTGTTACTAATTGTTTCCAGCTGCTCCCCTTTGATTAATCAATCAAAACAAATTTATAATGGTTCTCCTGTGGTTTGATACTGCTAGGAGCCTAGCATGCCTGTGATGAAGACAAGATGACTACGTGTGCTTAAAAGTCCGGGGAGTAGGCTAGGCACGATGGCTTACGCCTGTAATCCCAGCACTTTGGGAGGCTGAGGCGGGCAGATCACCTGAGGTCAGGAGTTCTAGACCAGCCTGGCCAACATGGTGAAACCCTGTCTCTACTACAAATACAAAAATTAGCCAGGCATGGTGGTGGCTGCATGTAATCTCAGCTACTCGAGAGGTTGAGGCAGGAGGACTGCTTGAACCTGGAAGGTGGAGGTTGCAGTGAGCCAAGATCATGCCACTGTACCGCAGCCTGGGCAACACAGCAAAACTCTGTCTCAAAAAAAAAAAAAAAAAAAAGTCAGGGGAATAAGGACTGGAGTGGCCAAAGCAAGTTCAGCATCAGAGGATTAGGTGGGCTTTAAAGGAGAGACAGTGACTCAGGCCTATAATCCCAGCACTTTGGGAGGCTGAGGTAGATGGATCACTTGAGGCCAGGAGTTTGAGACCAGCCTGGCCAATATGACAAAACTGCAACTCTACTAAAAATACACGGATTAGGTGGGCATGGTGGTACATGCCTGTAATCCCAGCTACTTGGGAGGCTGAGGCATGGGAATCACCTGAACCCAGGAGGCAGAGGCTGCAGTAAGCTGAGATCATGCCACTCCAGCTTGGGCAACAGAGCAAGACTCTGCCTTGAAAAAAAAAAAGAGAAACAAAAGAAAAGTTATTTCAGACCCAGGTAAAAAGAACAAAGGCATGATAGTGTCCATTTCTGGCTCTGATTTCCTTTTGTGCCCCTTCCTCTGGAATGTTCCTCTTACAAAGTTTTGTTATAGTAGTACTAATGATACTACTACCACTTATGACAATTACATAATTAGTTACTTAATAAATAATCCAAATAAGTCCTAGACATCACTTGGCCCAGTTTTGGAGTAGTATAACATTCAGAGGAAGAACCTAGCAACCAAAAATGAAGTTAATTCCTATGTATATTTTCCTAATTACAACCCACAGTAACACTTCTGAAAATCACCTCTCTTTCTATGCCTTTAGGTCTCCATTCAGCAGCTGCTTAAAGCCCCTCTTTCTTTACTTTTCTCAGTATCTGTGGGGGTCAGTTAGGGTTACATTCAGCTGCATGGAACTGAAACCTGGATGCACATACTTCACAAAACAGAGGTTTTATTTTTCTTTCTGTAACCAGAACTCTGGAGGTAGGCAGTTCAGGGCAGGTACAGCTGCTTGAAGAAGTATCAGGGACCCAAGCTTCCTTTAGCTTCCATCTTTTGCAAAATAGCTGCTTCACTTCTAGGCTTTGATCTACGTTCTCAGCAGGAAAAAGAATAAAGAGTAAATGACAAAAGATCTGTGCTGTTGCTGGCAGGTTGGGCATTTGGTGGCATCAGCAGCTGGATCAGCCTTGTTGAGTGGGAGCCCTGCTACTCTGTATTTGCATCCTTTTCTCTGATGTTCCCCCAGGGTATGCCACTTTTTAAAAATGTCGACTGTTGGCTGGGTGAGAGGGGTGCAGTTTTAGAAGCTTCCCCAGGTATGGCCTTGGCCTTCCCCACTATGACAGCTCTTGCTCCACAGGCCAAGGAACTATCATAGAGGTTCTGCCAACCACCAAGTATGCCCATGCTAAGTACCCATTCAGAGAGGACAAGGACTCATCACTATATACCCTTGCTGGGAATCCGGTCTTCCTCAGTCATTAGGTTCTGGAAATTGGCTCAGGTTGAGAAACAGGGCAAGGGATTATGACTATTGGGGCAGCTCCTCTCAGCTGCCTCCTTATCTGTCCTTGTGTTTTAAAAACTACATCTTGAGGCACACAGTATCCTACTAACTACCTTCATAGCTTCCTGTGGGTCAGGCTTCCTTGGATGCCATTCTATCTTGCCACTTCTAACAATGCCACTTAATCTTCTGCTAGTTATGCACTGCTACCTGGTCTCTAGCAGGCCCATTGCTATCAGGGACCCTAGCTCCTGAAACATCTTCCACTATAAGCCCTGGTCTACAGAGAAAAGTGACTATTGGACTTCTCAGTGATGCTTGTGTCCCTCTCAATAGCACATTCCTTATTGCTTGTGATAAACAGCAGAACACAGCTGACAGGATAGGATGTAAATAATATGTCATTCCCACTTCTGAGTCTTTTGCTCCCTTCTTCCATTGTTTGCCAGGACAGCTCTGGCCTTTCTATTTTGCTTAGTGTGGACCACTGCTTTCTCCAAGCTTTCTAGAGCCATCCTAGCAATCTGTTAGCTTTATCTCCTGGAGTCCTTGCCAGAATGTAAATACTGTAGTACAGGAATGTGCTTATATCAATATGCTCTGCTTTATTTAGCATTATTTTCTCCTCCCTCCCCAATTCAGCACACTGGGGACCCTTTACCCAGTTCTCCCACCTTCTGCAGATGTGTATATAAGTTGGGTAGGTTTTTTTTCAGAGGAGTCTCTCTCTGTCACCCAGGCTGGAGTGCAGTGGCCCGATCTCGGCTCACTGCAAGGCCCGCCTCCTGGGTTCACACCATTCTCCTGCCTCAGCCTCCAGAGTAGCTGGGACTACAGGCGCCCGCCATCACACCCGGCTAATTTTTTATTTTTTTATTTTTAGTAGAGACAGGGTTTCACCATGTTAGCCAGGATGGTCTCGATCTCCTGACCTTGTGATCCACCCACCTCGGTCTCCCAAAGTGTTGGGATTATAGGCATGAGCCACCGCACCCGGCCTAAGTTGGGTAGGTTTTTTAGCTCCTTCAGGATACAGTGCCTCTCCTCCCTTAGCAGGTCTAGCATTTTCTTAATGGGGTTATGTGTGACTTGACCTTAGTTATTGGTCTGTTAGACAGGTGGAAAAGTGCAGGTAGATCTGAGGAGAGCGTGTGTTGCCTTGCAAGGCAGATAATACTTCTTGATCTTCAAGCAAGGGGGTGGGGTGCTAGTTTCTTGAGGGAGGAGTGGGACACTTCTACAAACCCAGAGCACTCAAGGTGATGTGGGGTTTTAAGGTTCTCAAGTGCATTGACCCAGATGCCCCATCTAAAGTGTCAGGGTCCCACTTCTCAACTATGCCCCTGACCTTGGTATAGTACACTCACTAGGGCTGAAAACCTTTTTGGCGTTCTTCTGCTCTTATAATTAAATCCTGAGCTTCATCTTCCGCTTTTTCTGCCTTATGCAGCTCCTACTTCCTTTATATGCTGCTAAGGAGGCACACTGGCTTTCTTCCTTAGCCTTTAATTGGTGATTCATCATCCTCAACCTTTCATTGTCTTTCTCCAAAGCACAGGTTTACTCCATCAGTAGCCATCCAATTTCATTGTTCTTAAACTACTATTTGCCCTATATTGTTAAAATGCCTGATAGATTGCACCTACGAGTGCATTGTTCCACTGAGGTTACATCCCACCCATTCCAGCTCTTCACCATTGCTGAAAGTTTTAACATCGTACTGCTATGGCACGCCGGGGCCTGTCAGGGCTTCCCCTGTGGACCTTACTGCTAACTGGCCAGGGGAATGATTCAGCTCCACTGGATCAAACCACATTCATGGGACGTTTTTGTCCGTTTGTTTTGAGACAGGGTCTTGCTCTGTCACCCAGCCTGGAGTGCAGTGGTACAAACATGGCTCACTGCAGCCTCTACCTCCTGGGATCAAGCAATCCTCCAGCTTCAGCCTCCTGAGTAGCTGAGATGACAGCTGCTCACCGCCATGTCCAGCAAATTTTTTTATTTTTTGTAAAGATACGATTTTACCATGTTGGTCAGGCTGGTCTTGAACTCTTGGGCTCACGCGATCCACCTGCCTCAGCTCCTAAAGTGCTGGGATTACAGGTCTGAGCCATGGTGTCCGGCCACACTCATGGATTTAATTGCCCTTGGAATCAACACCGTGCAGGAAAGGAGTAGGATTGAGCAGAAAAAGTTGAACTAAATGTAGTTACAGCAAATGCCTCAGCTTCCGGATCCTAAGGGAGCTCTGGTGCCAGGAGAGCCCTTCAGAGCAGCCCCACCCTGAGCCCTGCATCTGCCAGTCAGTGCAGACGGACCTGGTGAGAGGCAGCTTTCTTCAGCTGAAGGCAACTCCTGGAAAGGGATTTAGCTGATAGGTGTTGACAAGTAATGCGCCCAGCAGCTGAGGAAATGAGCACCTTAGTCCTGAAGAGTGGTGTGCTCTTTGGTATGCTGGGATGGTTGGTTGTGCCAGTGGAGATGGGGGTGGTGGGCAGAATGAAGGGAATACTACTGTAAAAGCTTTTTATTTTTTATTTATATTTATTCATTTATTTATTTTTTAAGACAAGGTCTAACTCTGATGCCCGGGCTGGAGTGCTGGAATGCAATGACACCATCACAGCTCACTGTAGCCTTGACCTCCTGGGCTCAAGCGATCCTCCCACTTCAGCTTCCCAAGTAACTGGAACCACAGGCACATGCCACCATGCCCAGCTAATTAAAAAAAAAAATTTTGTAGAGATGAGGTTTCGCCATGTTGCCCAGGGTGGTCTGGAACTCCTGGGCTCAAGTGATCCACCCACCTTGGCCTCCCAAAGTGCTGGGATGACAGGCATGAGCCACGGCTCCCAGCTTGGAACAAAACTCTTCGAAGAAAAAATTGGCAGAGCTTGTTGCCTGACCAAAAAACAGAGGCTGAATGAGAGAGATGCATTTAAAACAATACGAAACACTAAGGGTTCCCTGAATACTGTTGGACAGTGCAAAATGGGGGAAGTTAGGATACAAATCTAATTCTGTTCTACTGTAAGGCTCATGCCTTTTCACTAGACTAGTGCTGGTCAAACTGGTGTTCCATGGGCTACATTCAGACAGCAGACGTATTTTGTTTGGCTACACAGCATTTAAAAAATGTAAATTGGCTGCCACTATGTAAAAATTGGAAGAGTTTATATGTAAGTTCAGATCTCTAGCTTCTCTTGAGTAACTAGAAGATCTAGCAACACTGGGTCAACATTCCTGCATGGCAGTAACTGGAGTTGAGTGACAGATACTCTTTAAATGGAGAGAGTATCTCTTATCTGGATAAATGGAGGTGGGTATATGCTTCTTAATTCACCACAGTCTCTATGCATTACCTTCTTTGGCATTTTTTTTTTGAGATGGAGTCACTCTGTCGCCCAGGCTGGATTGCAGCAGCACAATCTAGGCTCACTGAAACCTCAGCCTCCTGGGTTCAAGCAATTCTCCTGCCTCAGTCACCCTAGTAAGTAGTTGGGATTACAGCCATGTGCCACCATGCCCGGCTTTTTTTTTTTTTTTTTTTTTTTTTTAGTAGAGATGGAGTTTCACCACATTGGCCAGGCTGGTCTCAAACTCCTGACCTCAGGTGATCTGCCTGCCTCGGCCTCCCAAAGTGCTGGGATTACAGGCATGAGCCACAGCGTCCAGTCTTCTTTGGCACTTTTGTTTAGCATTCCTGCCATATGTACTATGTATGGTCTAACAAAGTACATAATACATAACAGGCATTTGGGTACTTTTATTTTTATTTATTTTTTAGAGACAGGGTCTTGCTCTGTTGCCTAGGCTGGAGTGCAGTGGCGAGATCACAGCTCACTGCAGCCTTGACCTCTCTAGCTCAAGTGATCCTCCCACCTCAGCCTCCCAAGTTGCTGGGACCACAGATGCACACCACTATGCCTAACTAATTTAAATAATTTTTTTTGGTAGAAGCTGGGATCTCACTATGTTGCCCAGGCTGGTCTGAACTTCTAGGCTCAAGCAATCCTCCCACCTCGGCCTCTAAAAGTGCTGGCATTATAGGTGTGAGCCACCACGACCGGCCCATTTGGACACTTAATACTGGTTCAGCAGAACTGAATGAATTTAATTGGAGAGGAAGTTGGGGTGAAGTCTAGGCCTCTGACTATAATGAGAGGTTTGGCACTGAGGGGAGGCAACAGAACAGGGAGTACAAATTAGGATGAATTAATGACATGCTGGCAGGAGCTTGAGTAAAGGAAGAAGAGCAGAGGGCCAGGGCCTGAAGTTTGGGTGTCTTACCACAGAGCTAAAGAAGAGTGGGCAATGGTAGACTAAACTAGAGAAGAAGAGGAGAGAAAGGCACAGAGGAACTTCAGCAACGGAATGCCAGGGAAGGCAAGGGAGCTGAGGGTTTGGGCAGTTGCATCCAGTGTAGGGAAGAAGATCAGGGAGATAGACAGGCAAAAAGCCATGGCAACAAGGAAGTAGTTAGGGACTTTCAGAGGAAGTATGAGAAAAGGAGAGGAAGGTCATAGGTCTGAAGTTTAGCAGTGCAGTAGGGGGCACTGGAATACTATCTTGGGGGTATGAGTGAGTGCTTTTTCAGGGGTCCTACTTGGGAGAAACATAGATAGACATTCATTTAATATTCATCCATTTCTTTCCAGCATAGTCATCATTCTGACATCATCTAAAAGAAATTAGTATCTGCATTGCATCCTTAAAGAAGAAGGGACAAAAGACATGTCCAAACTGTCTGTCTGTTCTAGTGGAATAAAACATTAATTTAATATGTATTTTGGACAACCACCAACCTAGAGATTGGAAACTTTTCTCAAGGATATATCTCTCTGTATGTGGGCTACTGGCTTTGTGGCTTTTCTGTAGGAAAATTAAAATTCTAGTTTTGTTCTCCCTTATCACCCAGTGTCTGTGTGGCTTAACTGGCTGATTAGCGCGTGCTTGGAATGTGTAAATTCATTTTAACATTGGCCTAGGGGCCTGTGTGGTAGCTCACCCCTGTCATCCCAGCACTTTGGGAGGCCAAGGCAGGGGGATCACTTGAGGCCAGGAGTTCCAGACCAGCCTGGGCAACATAGCAAGACTGTGTCTCTACCAAAAAAAAAAAAAAAAAAAAAATTAGCCAAAGCAGGGTGACACTCACCTGTAGTCCCAGCTATTCAGGAGCTTGAGGTGGGAGGATCACTTCGGCCCAGGAGTCTGAGGCTGGAGTGAGCTATGATTGAGCCACTGCACTCCACTGCACAGAGTCAGACCTTGTCTCTGAAAAACAAAAACATTTGCCTAGGTAAAATGTATCGAGGAAGACAAATTTTAAAATTACTCATTCCAGGCCAGGTGCGGTGGCTCACACCTGTAATCCCAGTACTTTGGGAGGCTGAGGTGGGCGGATCATGAGGTCAGGAGTTCAAGACCAGCCTGGCCAATATGGTGAAACACCGTCTCTACTAAAAATACAAAAATTAGCCGGCTGTGGTGGCGCATGCCTGTAGTCCCAGCTACTCGGGAGGCTGAGGCAGAAGAATCACTTCAACCGGGAGGCGGAGGTTGCAGTGAGCCGAGATCGCGCCTCTGCACTCCAGCCTGGGTGACAGGGTGAGACTCTGTCTTAAAAAAAAAAAAAAAAAATTAGTCATTCCAAAGTCCAATGTCAGACATAGATTATCCGTTGTTTTGGATGTAATCCTCTTCCTGGAAAACTGGCACAACCCAATTACACATGAAATCCTTTCAACTCTGGTATTGGAGGTATAGGGAAGGACTTTGTTTTAGGAGACCCATAGTCTACCTCTATTGTTCTAGGAGTTAAACCACGTTGGTTTACATCCTGACTTTGCCACCTGTCAACTCAGACCTTGGGCAAATCAAAGGTCTGAGGGAGGAGTGCAGGCTCCCAGCGTTCCCACGGGGGTGGGGACGTGACGTATTCATCAGTTCATGAAGTTAATGATATGTATTGAAAAGGTTTGTTCAAGGATTTAAATAAGACGATGAATATATTGAATTAATAATGAATGCAAGGCCTTAAAGGTGTTTTGAGGGTGGTGAAACTTGAATCTCTCATCAACTGTGCAATAGTTATATTAACTTGGATGGCTATGAGTTTTGCAGAGGAAAGCTGGGCTTAAATCCCAATGCTAGACCTGGTGGCTAGACCTTGATTGCCACCGGGTCTAGCATTGGGATTTAAGCGACCTCTAAAAAAAAAAAATCACGGAATCTCTCTTTGGCCTTCCTTTTTTGTTTCTCAGCAGTCTACCAAGCTACGAAGAACCTGAAAATCGGAGGTCGTGTACCTTATTTTTTCTGAGAGCTTAAGCTGAGAGCACAGCCTCCCCAGGAGATTAGCGGCAGAGATCCGCGCGCTGGGAGAAAGGCTAGCCCCAGGGCGCCCTAACTTCCAACTCCGGGAGCAATCCAAACCCGGAGGCCGGCGGGGGAGGGGACAGCTGTAGGGGGCGGTGGGGATGGGAGTGGATGCTCCCGGGTCAGCTCTGGCACTCGCCAGCTGAGCCCAGCGCCAGTCTAGGTGAGCCCCACGGCGGTGAGGGACGCTCGCCAGACGGCCCAGAGGAGTTAGATGACGTCACCTCCAGGAGGACTCGCTTTTTCATTAATGAAACCGGCCGGCGCGGGCGCATGCGCGGCAGGCCGCCTTCCCTCTCGCTTCCCCCTCCCCTTTCCCAGCCGCGCTCTCAATCTCTAGCTCGCTCGCGCTCCCTCTCCCCGGGCCGTGGAAAGGATCCCACTTCCGGTGGGGTGTCATGGCGGCGTCTCGGACTGTGATGGCTGTGGGGAGACGGCGCTAGTGGGGAGAGCGACCAAGAGGCCCCCTCCCCTCCCCGGGTCCCCTTCCCCTATCCCCCTCCCCCCAGCCTCCTTGCCAACGCCCCCTTTCCCTCTCCCCCTCCCGCTCGGCGCTGACCCCCCATCCCCACCCCCGTGGGAACACTGGGAGCCTGCACTCCACAGACCCTCTCCTTGCCTCTTCCCTCACCTCAGCCTCCGCTCCCCGCCCTCTTCCCGGCCCAGGGCGCCGGCCCACCCTTCCCTCCGCCGCCCCCCGGCCGCGGGGAGGACATGGCCGCGCACAGGCCGGTGGAATGGGTCCAGGCCGTGGTCAGCCGCTTCGACGAGCAGGTAACCGGCCCGTGGCGGGCGGGAGGTGGGAGCGGAGTGGGGGTGGGGACAGAGTAGGTGAGGGGAGGTAGGAGCGGCCGCCTCCCCCGCGGCTGCCTCAGGCTCTGGAGGAAAGGAAGGGAAGGGAAGAGAAGGGAAGGGGGGATAAGTGGGGGTGGCCAAGGCGGGAGGTGAGGGGTAGGAGGGGACAGCTGGGAGCTTGGGCACCCTTTCCCTCCTAAGTCGGGGGGTGGGGCCTTGTCCCTGACCAGCCTCCGACCCTCCATCCCCTTTATCCCAGCCCTTCCGCTTGGAAATGGGGATGAGTGACCTGGGGGCGCCTTTAGGGGCGCGCCATCTGGATTTAATAATTACCCCCTTACTTTTGTTTTTGAGCAGAGGTGGGTAACGTTTAGGGGTTCTCTCTTCCTCTTCCCTCCGTGACCCTCCTAACTGGGGACGAGCGAACCCTAAGGCCTGTCTTATATACCCTCAATAGGAGAACGATAACATTCCGCCCCTCCCCCAGTTTCTTCAGCTTCCTCTCCTGGAGGGGGAAGAGCAGAAGAAAGCAAGGAAGGCACAGGTTTTCTTACTTTCTGCTCCATCGTCTCATCCTGCCCCGAGAGCTTCAAGTGCACACTCACTGCACATCTTTGTGATGCCCTACAACGTCGTCCCCCATATCCTGATGACACAGACTGCCTTTTTTTTTTATTGCCGTTTGCAGTGGAAACCGTGGTTCTGAAATATCTTCCCCTTCCTTGATAATTGCAGTCTCTTCCCCCCCCCCTTTTTTTTTTGCCAGCGGTCTGAGGATGTGATGCATTCTCGAGTGAGAATGTTGGGGAGTAAAGGGGAGAAGGGTGAAAGGAAAGTGAGAAACTGCTTCAGAGCCACCGACAACAGAGCAAAGCCAGCTGGGATGTGGTCCTGGAGCGGATCATTCTGCTAGTGTTTGTGGTTGTTTTTGACTCTCTCCTGGTTGACAAGAGAACTTTCATTGAGAATATTTGGGATGAAAAAAAAGTTTTGTAGCTTGAGGAGGTGACTTTTTATCGCCTGAGTTTCACACAATAAATCCTGGGGCTGATTAGAATAAATGCACACATAGCCTTTTGTCAGTGGAAATTGGTTTAACTTTGTGTTGCTGTAGGTAGTTGGGGATGGTTTAAGGGATGCTTTCTGCAGCTGTGGGTGCAGTGGGCTTCCTGTGATGGGGGAATTGTTTAAGATTGAGTCAACCTATTTTGTTTACTGGATATAATGGTAAAACATTATGGGAGCTGAAGGGGTGGGGGAAGAGCTCTTCTGTTATTTGATGCATAAACATTTCTTTACGGGACTCAGCGTTTCAGACCTACCTGGAAAATATCTTGGAATAGACAGAGGAAGTTGAGAAGAAGCTATGTAGATAAAATAGAGTTATGAAGCTGTCAGAGACTTGAAGGAATTGTTTTATCCATTCGTATGCTTCCAGACCCAAAGGCATCTAAACTAAACTACTAATCCATCTGAAGTATAATGTTACTGCATATAAAAGATTACATTATTGATAGAGCGTTAGATTTAAAACTTGGTAGAAAAGACTCTGTAATTTTAAGAAAGGATTTAAAAGGCACATAGAAGACTTCCAAAGCTGAACCTTGTGGACAGCAGAATCTGGATGTAGGAAATTGAAGGATCCACGCCGCAATTCTCCTTAAATTTTAAAAATTAAAAATTTTTTTCAGTTTTTTCTTAATTTTATTTTTTTACTTCTTACCTGTTCATCTCTAGGCTTATTTGCCATATTGGAAAAAGATACTTAAGAGAGGAATGATTTTGGGCTGGGCGCGGTGGCTCACGCCTGTAATCCCAGCACTTTGGGATGCCAAGGCAGGTGGATCACCTGAGGTCAGGAGTTTGAGACCAGCCTGACCAACATGGAGAAACCTCGTCTCTACTAAAAATACAAAAATTAGCTGGGCATGGTGGCGGGCGCCTGTAATCCCAGCTACTCGGGAGGCTGAGGCAGGAGAATTGCTTGAATCCGGGAGGTGGAGGTTGCAGTGAGCTGAGATCACACCACTGCACTCTAGCCTGGGCGACAGAGCGAGACTCTTGTCTCCAAAAAAAAAAAAAAAAAAAAAGGAGGAATGATTTTGATTATATACCCAGTAAAGCAAGAAAGTGTTTCTCCTTCTGTCCCTAGCTTTAAAAGACCTTAAGGCTTCGTTGTTTGTTATGCATATTGTGGAATCAAACTCACCACCATCTGTTAAAAATTAAGGACATTAGTTTTTAAAACAGCATTTTTCTGCATTCCTTATGTTGTAATTAAGAGAAAGATATATAGGAGAGATTATTCCTCACTTTTTTTTTTTGAGACAAGGTCTTGCTCTGTCGCCCACGCTGGAGTGCAGTAGCTTGATGTCGGTTCATTGCAACCCCTGCTTCCCACATTCACGTGATTCTCCTGCTTCAGTCTCCCAAGTAGCTGGGATTACAGGTGTGCACCATCGTGCCTGGCTAATTTTTGTATTTTTAGTAGAGACGGGGGTTTCACCATGTTGGTCAGGCTGGTCTTGAACTCCTGACCTCAGGTGATCTGCCCCCCACCCCCTGCTCGGCCTCCCGAAGTGCTGGGATTACAGGCATGAGCCACTGTGCCTGGCCTATTCCTCACATTTTTCTCTTAGAAAGTTAAAGTCTCTGACCTTGAGATACAAAAATGTAAGGGTTTTCAGTGTTTAACATAAGGTACTTATATATATTATATATAGTATATATATAAAATAAATTAATATATTAATTTATTATATAAGTGATAAATGTTTAATTCAAATTAGAGTTCACCTTACGGTTGAAAATGTCTTTTAGTCAGAAAACTGAGGCATGGGAAGGTTAAGTGACATAGATCTAATAAGAGCTTCAGTATGAAAAGTAGTGAATGCTTGACCATCAGGGAGATACTTTTCCTAAGTATCCCATAAAATTTGTTCTAATCCATTAAATATATTTAGAAGACTTTATTTTATTTTTTTTATTTTTGAGACGGAGTTTCATGATTCTTGCCTAGGCTGGAGTGCAATGATGCGACCTTGGCTTACTGCAACCTCTGCCTCCTGGGTTCAAGTGATTCTCCTGCCTCAGCCTCCCAAGTGGCTGGGATTACAGGCGCCTGCCACCACTCCTGGATAACATTTGTTATTTTTAGTAGAGTGCTGAGATTACAGGCGTGAGCCATCGCTTACATTTTTATTGAGGGGAGAAAAAGCCCTGCATGTACTGAGAGATAGTTGTATAAGAATCTTAAGAGTTGGCCGGGCGCGGCGGCTCACGCCTGTGATCCCAGCACTTTGGGAGGCCGAGGCGGGCCGATCATGAGGTCAGGAGATCGAGACCATCCTGGCTAACACAGTGAAACCCCATCTCTACTAAAAATACAAAAATTAGCTGGGTGTGGTGGTGGGTGCCTGTAGTCCCAGCTACTTGGGAGGCTGAGGCAGGAGAATGGCCTGAACCTGGGAGGTGGAGCTTGCGGTGAGCCGAGATTGCGCCACTGCACTCCAGCCTGGGTGACAGAGCGAGACTCCATCTCAGAAAAAAAAAAAAAAAAAAAGAATCTTAATAGTTTCAACTGTTTATAAAACTTTTGAATTTTGGATTATATTATCTGTACTTTGCTTTACTGGGCCCAGGGGGAGTTAAGCTTTCCTTCTTATTACAGCTAAGAGTTTGCCTGTTGGACCACTTAACGCCCCCAGGGAGCATGTGCATGTCTAAAGATGGCAACTCTGTTTATGATTGCTGTTTTGGTTGGATTTCTAATATTCGGTGTGATTAAAGCAGAAATGCATTTCTAGCCACTGCTGATTACAGACATATTGCACTCTGATGGGTATCGCTTAGCAACTTAGTGCAGTAGACTCAGTTAAAAGAAGTGGATGTGTGCCATATTGACATTTTGAGCTCACATTCTTGTGGGTAATATAAAATTCCTTAACCTGATAATATTGCAGCTAAACCTAGTATTTAGGGTCTAAGTTGAATGAGTATTACCAATTTTAGAAGTAATCACCTCCTTGGTTAGGGAAATGACAGTTGCACAGGTGGACAGCCAGAAAGCTGAATGTTATCAGTTAAATCTTACATCTCTCCTTAACCTGCCTTCGTGGTGCCAAATAGCAAGTTTCTAATTGAAACTGACAAATTGTAGGTGTGTAGCTTTTTTTTTTTTTTTTTTGAGACAGAGTTTCGCTCTTGTCTCCTAGGCTGGAGTGCAATGGGGAGATCTCAGCATACTGCAACCTCTGCCTCCTGGGTTCAAGCCATTCTCCTGCCTCAGCCTCCCAAGTAGCTGGGATTACAGGCGCCCACCACCACGCCTGCCTAATTTTTGTATTTTTAGTAGAGACGGGGGTTTCACCGTGTTGGCCAGGCTGGTCTCCAACTCCTGGCTTCAGGTGATCCACCTGCCTTGGCCTCCCAAAGTGCTGGGATTACAGGCGTGAGCCACCACGCCCGGCCATGTGTAGCTTTTAATTGTGGTTCATTAACCCAGTTTCTAAGCAAATTAGAACCTTCTGTGTATCTCCCCTAGTTCTGTATGCCCCACTGGTTCCTGTAGAGCTTTATTTCTGAAGGGAAGTATGGGAAAACTATGGATATTTGAACTAAAAAAAAAAAAAAAAGAATTAAAAAGAACTCCATCCCAAAATGATTTGTTGTAAATATGTTCATTTAAAGCAATTATATTTTCCATATCTGATCAAGCAAAAGTAGTACATAAAAGCCAAAAAACCCAATTTAAAGAATATGTTATGGAATAAACTCTGATTTTAGAGGTTGTAGTAGCATATTTGTTGTTCTCATACATTGAGTGTTCATCTGAATGTACGTTGAATATGCGGTGAGTGATTCACAGTATAAAATGATTGGCAAGTATCTTCGAAATTACAAACCACATACTGATTAGACAAATAGATTTGCAAAACTGAAGCTTTTTG